>NW_025791766.1:0-300000 GCF_000001405.40 Homo sapiens | reverse complement strand
TAGTTAATACCATTTCAGTCCCTGCAGGAAATACTCCTTGTTAGTACTTTAAGCCCAGAATGTTTCACATTATTTCTAAGCAAGTTCTGTAATCTGACACTGGTTCATTCTTTTTTTTTTTTTTTGGTTTACAAGATTGTATGATGTACCAATCAACTTTTGTGGAAAAAATTTAGTATTTGAATTTAAAAGATTTTCAGCAATTTTTTTTCCTTTTTTTTTTTTTTTTTTTGAGACAGGGTCTTGCTCTGCTATCCAGGCTGGAGTGCAGTGGCACAGTCATGGCTCACAGTAGCCTCAAGCTCCCAGGCTCAGGTGATCCTCCCACTTCAGCCTCATAAGTAGCTGGGTCTACAGGCATGTGCCATCATGCCCAGCTAACTATCTGTATTTTTCGTATAGACAGGCTTTTGCCATGTTGCCCAGGCTGGGATTTTCAGCAATATTTCTAGCTCCTGTTGGGCCTTCTCATGAGGAGGCTTTGTGTGTGTGTGTGTGGGGGGGGGGGGTGCGGGGGGGGGGTGCGGGGGGGGGGGTTTTAATATCTTTCTCAGGTTTCTTCCATTCTGCTGCTGCCATCCATTTTTGAGCTTCACCAGGCCTCCATATCATATGAATAAATTGTCATATGAACCTTTGTCAGGGAGTCCTGGATCATAGTCTCCTATGAGGAGTCTAAACTCCTTAGTCAAGTTTTGAGGATTTTCTCTTAGATCAGGGAAGTCTTCTAAAATAGCTCTAAGCTCAGTTTTAGACCATGGAGTGAAAGTGGTTATAGCAGGCAGGCCTGGATAATCAGAAGGTCTTCCTTTGTGAGGCGTACATCTAATTCCTCCTTTTTCATCATCTTCAGAGTGAAAGGTTGATCTAGCAAAAAGGTTAGTAGACTCAGAGTACGTAGGTAGAGATGGATAAAGAGAAGAATCAGTTGGGGTTAGTTCAGTGAGAGTACAGTTCTCTTTCATCATGTCCTTAGCCTGTTGCTTAAACTGTTCATTTGCTTTTGCAAAGTATCTTTTAAGGAGGGAATTTTTCATTCGTTTAGTCTTTTAGAGGCTTCCATGTACCAATGAAAGACTATATCCCAATGTTTTTGTGGGGTTTTGATCCCCCTTTTTCTAATATGCCTTGCAAATAAACAATTTTATACAAATTAAAACTTCCCCATTGTGGCCATCTTTTCTCTAGTAAGGTTAATCTGTTTTTCTAAAGATGCACACATTCTGGGCCTAAAATTTTATATACAAAATTAGATGGAGTCCCAGAAGGTAGATTCCTAGAATCCTTGGATTGAGACAAACCCATTATCAAAAAAAAAAAAAAAAAAAAAGTGCCTAGTAGAGGTCTGAGGCTCTAACAGAACCCAATCCAGTTAATTGATTCAAATTTGATCCTGAACCCAGTCCACTTAAATATTGCTCAAATAAACTTGGAGAGCTCCAATTAGAACACAAATTAGTGGAACTCTGAATCCAAGAGAAAACCCATCTACAACCTCCAGTTACAATCAAAAGATCAGTGAGCACAACTGGCCTGGTCACCTGGTGTTCCTGTAGGTCACCAGAGTTTTACTTCAAACTGCACTTCCAACACCAGATCTGGTAAAAGAAAAACCTTAGACAAACTAAATTTAACAGAATTTAATTGAGGAGAAAAAAAAAAAGACAATTCACAAATCAGGCAGTCCCTAGAATCACAGCAGATTCAGAGCAACACCAGAGATGCTATGTGGTCGGAAAAAACCTTATGAATAGAAAAAGGAAAGTGACATGCAGAAAACCAAAGTGAGGTACAGAAATAGCCAAATTGGTTACAGCATGGTGTTTGCCTTATTTGAACATGGTTTGAACAATAGGCTGCCTGTGAGTACTGAAGTATGGCTGCTGAGATTGGCTGAGGCTCAGTTATTGCTACAGAAGCATCCTTCTAAGTTAGGTTTTCAGTCGTCCTACCTACAAAGTTAGGTTATGGTTCATCCTTAAGGACTCAAGTATGGGAGTGAGGAGGCTTTCTCAGGCCAGATTTTAGTTTGATTTAATAGTTCCAAATTTAAGTCAGTCCTTTGCTCCAATATCTGATCATAGGCTATTAGAAGCAGCCAGGCCATTTCTTGAATGCTTTGCTGCTTAGACATTTCTTCTACCAGATACCCTAAGTCATTACTCTTAAGTTCAGCCTTCCACAAAGCCCTAGGACATAGATACAATGCAGCCAAGTTCTTTGCTAGGGCATAACAAGGGTGATCTTTGCTCCAGTTCCCCATAACTTCCTCATTTCCATCTGAGACCTCATCAGGCTGGCCTTTACTGTACATATTTCTGTCCACATTTTGGTTACAACGACATTACAAATCTCTAAGAAGGTCCAAACCTTTTCTCATCTGTCTTCTGGGCCCTCCAGACTCTTTCCAACCGCTGCCTCATACCCAGTTCCAAAGCCACTTCCACATTTTCGGATATCTTTATAGCAACGCCCTACACCTCCGTACCAACTTTCTGTGATAGTCTATTTTGCATTGCTATAAAGAAATATCTGAGACTGGGTAATTTATAATGTAAAGAGGTTTATTTGACTCACAGTTTTTCAGGCTGTACAAGAATCACACTGCTGGCATGTGCCTCTGGTGAGGGTCTCAGGAAGCTTTTACTCATGGGGAAGGGTGAAGGGGGAGCAGTTGTGTCACATGGCAAGAGAGGGAACCAGAGAGATGCCACGCTTTTTTAAACAACCAGCTCTCACATGAACTAATAGAGCAATCAATCATAGGGAGGGCACCAAACCACTCAGGAGGGATCCAGTTCTTATGATCTAAACACCTCCTACTAGGTCCAACCTCTAACACTGGGGGTCACATTTCAACATGAGATTTGAAGACAAATATCCAGACTATATCCACCTTCTAGAGGGGACAGGGCTTCTGCTCCTGGAAATTCAGACCCAGGAATAGGACTTGGCATTCTTCTGCTCCATCTTATGCCCACTCCCCAGCCACACAGAGCTACTTCTACTTCTTCAATACCTGAAGCTCTCTTTCTGCTTGAGGCCTTTGGGCATGTTGTTCCTTTTGCCTGGAACATTCTTATCCCCACCCCATCCCCTTGTTAGTTCAGTGACTCCCTAGCTGCTGAGCCAGGAGGAAGCAGTTCATCCTGTTTTTTTTCTCCCCCCCCGGCAGTTATTGCAATTTAGTCCTTTGCTACTCAAAGTGTGATCCCCAGACCAGTGCAGCAGCCTTGCCTAGAAGTGTATTAAAACTAAGTGTGGGGTCGGCCAGGCGCGGTGGCTCACGCCTGTAATCCCACCACTTTGTGAGGCCGAGGCAGGCGGATCACCTGAGGTCCGGAGCTCGAGACCGGCCTGACCAACATGGAGAAACCCCATCTCTACTAAAAATACAAAATTAGCCAGGCGTGGTGGCGCATGCCTGTAATCCCAGCTACTCTGGAGGCTGAGGCAGGAGAATGGCTTGAATCCGGGAGGCGGAGGTTGCTGTGAGTCGAGATTGCACCTCTGCACTCCAGCCTGGGCGAGAGCGAAACTCCGTCTCAAAAAAAAAAAAAAGTGTGGGGTCTATGGCCATACCACCCTGAACACACCCAATCTTGTCTGATCTAGAAAAATAAGTGTGGGTACGACGTTTATTATGCCCACAAGATTAACATTAGCAAAACAGTATGAATCTTGCACAGCTTCTTCCTAAATGCAACACAGCAGCCACCCTCCCATGAGGCAGAGAAATTCAGGTGTGTCCTCTGCTGGTCGACGCTCCCATTGCCTGGGCATCGATGGGCAGTGCTGATTTGCTGATGGCCAGGGAGAGAAGAGGGACCAGCTGCCCTGACTGGTGCTCATCTTCCTTGGACCAAGTCTACACTCACTGCCAAGGGAGTTACAAGCACTTCTTTCCTGAAGGACTCAGATAGGAGGCCCAAAGCTGTAGGAGGGAATGCTTGTGTGTTTGTGAATTGGGGGAGGGTATTATTGGGGCAAGATAGTGGGCTCGTGGTAACAAGAAGTTAAACCGGAACTTCACACTGAGGCACTGGATATAATAGGTAAGAAATTCTGCTGTGAGATCTGACACCAAAATGAGGAAATGCCAAAGGAGGCTGTCAAGAACGGTTTGGGGTTGCCAGGGTTTGAGGGGAAGGGGATGTGAGGAGTGACGGTTCCATGACGACAGGTTTCCTTCCTGGGTAATGAAAATGTTTTGGGGCTTGATATGGGTGTTGCTTGCAAAACACTGTGAATGTACCAAATGGCAGGGAACTGTATACTTGAAAATGGCTAACTGTATGTTATGTAAATTTTGTCTCCATGTATTGGGAAAAAAGAAGAGTTTAGGTGGCTCTAAAACTCACAAGGAGTATAAGAAGGGTTAGAGAAGACACTGAGGGATTTTTTTATGGGGAGAGTTGCTGCTGTGCTGAATCTGCCCTCACCTAGCTCCGGCCAAGGGGCCGATGGGCGGTGCCACTGTGACCTCCAGACAGCTTCTTGGCCAAGGTGACTCCAAGTCCTTCTCTGCCAGGGAGCACCAGGACTGATGTTGACACTTGCCAGAGGAATCTGGAAGTCAAAGTCCACACCTATTGGCCTGGAACTCTGGCTGAGGTAGAATGTTGCTGCGGTGTGTGTGTGTGTGTGTGTGTGTGTGTGTGTGTGTGTGTGTGTGTGTGTCAGAGAGAGAGACAGAGAAGGCAGGGGGAGAGAAAGAGAGAGGAGATGGTGGGGGAGAGAGAGAGACAGAGAGAGAGAGGAAACAGAGAGTGGGGAAGAGGAGGGTAGAGAGATAGTGAAAGGAAAAGAAAGGAATGACAGAGAGGGAGAGGGAGTGATTGCTTTGCCTGAACTGGGGCTGTTTTCGGTGGCAGTGGATGAGGCCAGCCCTTGGGAATGTAAGGGCTTCCAGGGAACGGCAAATGCAGATTTGTGATTTGTACATGGAACTCTATGGGCAAGCATAGGGTAGGAGACTGATAGTTTTCCAGAAAGTAGGAAGGAGGGAGGGCATGTTCTAAGATAATTTTAGAGGTCAATGACTTGGACCCATTAGTGAGAAAATCTAGACTGTTAATTCCAAACTTCCTTTCAGCTCTCTTCAGCTAATAAGTAATTTGTTCAGTTTGAAGGATGGTATTTTATTCTGAACCTGGTAAAATTGTAATGACATTCAGATTTCCTTTTACATATTGCTTACTGGTTAAATTAGAATTTCTTTTTTTGCTTCATTTTTGTTTTACATGTGTGCACATGTGAAGATGTGCGTACATGCAGGGAAAGTCAGCCAGCCTGAGACAATCTCCCCTTCCTTTTTTTCCCCCTAGTTTTTATTATGGTAAAATATATATAACATACAACCATTTTAACGTGTACAGTTCAGTGGTACTAATTATGTTCACAATGGTGTGTAACTGTCACCACAATCTATTTCCAGAAGTTTTTCATCATTTCAAACAGAAACTCTGTACCCACTAGGCAAGAACTCCTTGTCTTCTCCTCTAGCCCCCGGAAAGCCCTGTTCTACATTCTGTCTCTACGAACTTGCCTATTCTGACAATTTCATATAAGTGAAACTATACAATATTTGTCCTACTGTGTCTGGTTTTCTTTTCCCAGAAAATCCCCCCACCCGACTCAAGGCACAGATTAGAAAATCTTCCCAGGCCTTGAGTCTCCCCCTGCAGGCGGTGTCCTTACATGGTCTGGGTGCTGCTTCCCGACGTCACCGGGATCCCTGGGTGTTTCTCTCCTTTCCCTGGAAGCCTTTCTTTCACCCACAAGGCACCGGGAAGCCTTTGTGCTACTGTTCCTCCTGCGTGTGTCCTTGATAAAGTACAGAATGGACCAATAAATTTAAATTTATCACAAAGAGTGGGCAATTTTTAGCATGGGACAGAATCAAACATTAAAAATCATTTATCTGAAATTCAAATTTAATTGGGCATCCTGTATTTGTGTTTGCCTCATCTGGCAGCCCTACTATGGACACTTCTCTAAATTCCAGACTCAAGTCCAGTCCACAGGTTGTCCACCCTTCTCAGAAGTCCAGGGATAAGGGATATGGACCAATCTCTAAAGAAAAACCTCCATTTCAGGAGGAGTTATGCTACAGGTGCCTGTGACTCCAGGTCTAGATGCTGGCTTTCACCACTTGACAGGGATTCCCTGCAATGGGAGAGGTTCAGTGGCCTGGGGCTGACTCATATCTGAGAAACCCTGAGTGTGGGTTTCAGGGCCTAGCTAGGCTGTGGCCATGAGGTGATCCTGCACTCTTAAGAGTTCACCCCAGCATAGGATGCATAAGTGTTTCCTGAGGACAAGATTTGGGACATGCAAGAGGCTGGCACTGGGCCAAGAAGACTCTGAGTCTCAGTGGAGTGACTGCTAGAAACCAGATTTGGGGAGGAGGAGGAGGAGGAGGACCAGAAGCTGGAGGAAAACCTATTGCTTGCATTGCTGGAGTTACGATCCAATATTCCAGAGGGAGGCCTCAGAAGAAGCCATGAAAACACCCAAGAAAGTCAGCTTGAGACAATGAACAGCCAGGGTGAGAGGGCAGGACGACAAGCTGTGGTCCCCATCCCTACCACATAGACACACACACACAGATGGGTCAGACACCTCCCTGTGCTGCTGAGGAGGAGAGCCCTGTCAGGCAGGGACAGAGGGGACTATGCTCCCCTAGGTGGTGCAGAGAGGCCTGGCAGGGGAAGAGAGAAGATTTTAAGTGGAACTCAAGTTGGGAGTTTCGATTATTACACTTTTACTTATTGAGTGGAGACTGGGCTTTCAGTGAAAAGTCAGCTGGGTAGAATGTGTAATCCCCTAACAGTGATCAGAACAGTCGAGGCATTACCTGAGTTCTCATCTCCAGTATAAGGAAGAAACTCCTCAACTAAGCAGGCTTACAAAAGGCCGTGAGAGACAAGTGTAGTTGGGTGCTGATATTCACAGCAGCATTGTTCATAAGACCCACACATTATATGTAGTTATAAATCTGTTTAACAACTGCTTACTGTAAGATTAGAACATATTTGATATAATAAAACATCTCACATAAATTATGGTGCATAATAAAATGAATACCCCTGAACCCAGCACCTGAATGAACTAGAAAGGTCACTACATTTGACAATACTTTCAAAGCTAAGTGTCTCTTCTCCAATCCTAGCTCCCACTATTTTGAGTTAAAAAAAAAATCCATCTCTCTATCTATCATCTATCCATCTATGTTTGATCCTAAAATGACATGGGTCCCTAGGTGTCCATGCACAACATGTTTACCTTGGCTTGCTTTTGAACCTTATGATGAAAGTATCATACAATATATTTTCTGTAGTTTTTTTCCTACTCAACATCATCTCGAAGACTTACTAACTTTGATGTTCTTTAATTTTCCCTTCTGTCTAGAACTCTTTTGCATGACATACCACTTGCTTTTTACCCATTCTCTTGTCAAAGGACACTTGAGTTGAGTTGTTTCTGGTTCTTTGCTAGGGTGAAAGGACATCTTTGCTGAAGATGTTTTTGTGAACCTTCCTGGGCTGATTATTGGTGTGCACTTTTCAGAAGTGCTGAATGACAGAGTGAATGCAAGCTTCCTCAAGCAGTGTGTGAATTCCAGTTAATCAACATCCCTGTCAACATTTAGACTGTCAGACAAAACTTTGTGCCAATCCAGGGAGTGTAAAAAGGTATTTTATTCTATCCATAAAAGGCATTTCCCTAATTAATAATGAACTCAATCTATATTTTGTGTTTATGAGCTATTTGTGTTTTTCTATAAAGTTGCCTGCTCATGAGTTTAGCCCATGTGTATTAGTCCATTTTCATACTGCTATGAAGAAATACCCAAGATTGGGTAATTTATAAAGAAAAAGGCATATCTTACATGATGGTAGGCAAGAAAGCGTGTGCAAGGGAACTGCCTTTTATAAAACCCTCAGATCTTATGAGACTTATTCACTATCATGAGAACAACATGGGAAAAACCTGCCCCCATGATTCAATTACCTCCCACCAGGTCCCTCCACAACACATGGGGATTATGGGAGCTATAATTCAAGATGAGATTTGGGTGCAGACCAATCATGGCGGAACGTGAAGGAGGAGCAAAGACACATCTTACGTGGCGGTAGGCAAGAGAGGGTGTGCAGGGGAACTGCCCTTTATAAAACCATCAGATCTCATGAGACTTATTTACTATCACGAGAACAGCATGGGGAAAACCCACCCCATGATACAATTACCTCCCACTGGGTCCCTCCCACAACATGTGGAAATTATGGGAGCTACTATTTTAGATGAGATTTGGGTGGGGACACAGCCAAACCATATCACCATATTTCTATGAATTATCTATTTGTTTTAAAGAGACTTAAATATAAATTGTGTTTTTAAAAAACTGACTCATAGAAGTTCTTTATATATTCTGGATACAAACTCTTTGCTGGTCAGATGTGCTGCAATTATCTTCTCCCATTTTGAGCCTTGTTTTTTCACTGTCTTTATGGTGCCTTTTGATAAAAAATTTATCAAGATGAATTTATCAGTCTTTTTCTTTATGGTTAGCACTTTGCCCCTTTAGACATTTTTCTGTTCTTACTCTCATGTTTTCCTCTAAAAATTGTAATGGTTTTGCCTTTCTCACTTAAGCCTTTTTTCTTTTTGGTTTTTATTTCTATTAAAATTATGTATGTACCCCTTTTAAACAGCCAGGGTTTGACGGCTCTGTCATGTGAAACAGCAGCCTCTACATTCCCCGGCACATGTTTCACAGGCTGTGTGGCTCCTGCTCCATTGTCCAGGTCTAGCCTGTCTGCTCTCAGCTGCTGAGGGTGAAGACAAGTCTCCTCCATGCATATACGCACTCCTCCCCTGCTCAGCTTCCCAGTGTGGTTAGATGGCCCTTTGGGCTACTCCACTATTCTGTGTCATTTTAAGCTAAGCTATACAGTAAACCATGATGACTTATCCTTTCCTGAAGGCTTTTGATTTGAATCTTTTCCCTTAGAATTGATACTTTTCTTTTTGCCATTGTTCAGTTTTCTGTGTATTATCACTTATTCAATGCCAAACTCTATCAGATGTCCAAATGTCTCCTCAACATTTAGATGATCTGATTTAACCATCAGATCTCCCTGGTCTTTTCCAGCATCTCTGATCTCTCATTTTGCTTGTTTATTTTCTGTGTGCCATTCAAGAAAACCCACTTAAAAAAAAAAAAAGATAGGGGTCTCACTATGTTGGACAGGTTGATCTTGAACTCCAGGCCTCAAACGATCCTCCCACCTCAGCCTCCCAAAGTGCTCAGATTACGGGC
This sequence comes from Homo sapiens, assembly GCF_000001405.40. Classification (NCBI taxonomy): domain Eukaryota; kingdom Metazoa; phylum Chordata; class Mammalia; order Primates; family Hominidae; genus Homo; species Homo sapiens. The sequence goes on along the minus strand of NW_025791766.1, from coordinate 290,675 downwards.
ATGAACCACCACATCCGGCCACCATTCAACAAATTCTTATTGAGCCAACCACGTGCTACATGTTGTGTTATGCTCCAAAGAAACAAGGAGAACAAGATGGTTGTCATTCTTGCCTTTGTGGAGCTTACTACCAAATTCAGGGGAAGAAAAACCCCAACAAATTCTGGAGCAATGTTACTTATTCCTAATTGTTTGATTGGCTCTGGAACTGATGCCTGCCTATTGTAAGACGGCACCAGTGTGGGGGACTCCTGAGTATGAGAAGGGTCTTCCCCAGTTTCCTGTGTGGCCAAGGCTCTCTGCCTAAGTTAGGGATGAATACGGCGAAGTCTCTGAAGCACCTTCCACCTTTTCTCAGTTCACCTCTGTCTCATGAAATGAAGACTGTGATAGCCATTTTGTTAAGTCTAGCCCTACCTGTCTCATAGTTCCTTGAGGTTCCTGGACTTAGTGTAGCAATGGTGAGGCCAGACGAACACTGTGATGAGATGGCATCAGGGATCAAAGGAATATGTGAATTTGGCCATGACTTTCGGGGGACAGGCCAGAACGTTGAACCCCAAACCGCATAAGAAGTCTAGCAAGTTTGGCTGACCTCTCAAGAGGGCTCTATTTTCTCCAGAGTGGAGCCTTGGGTCTCATCTCCGCAACAATCAGAGTATCCAAAGTAAAGCCACCAGCACTGTAGGAAACAAGTCCAGGACAGAGTAAGACACACACGCACATAGGCAGAGATTTTACTCTAGTGTCTATGCAGGGAGATGGCTTGGGCTACTGAGCATTTTTTGGCCCATCATAGCTCTCTGAAAGGCTGGAGAGGAGCACATAGGGCTACGGCTGCTCAGGCAAAGAAAATTAATAGTCCACATCTATGTTCCTTGTGACTATGATCGACTTAAAATGTGGCCTAGTCAGGTTTGGAAAATAATGCCCCCATTGCCACCACCCCAGCCTTGGTGGTGGTGGAGTCTCCTTAGATCAGGACCCTCATCTTGGGCAGCTGCAAGAGCCAAGGGCTATGGAGATGAGCCATGAGTGCCCCCTGGAGGCCAATGATGCTAGCTTTAATTTTAATACCATTCCCTTTTTCCCATGCCCACTCCCCACCATCCCCTTTCATGAGTATTTCGTGAGAAACTGGGAAAGGGCTGTAAGCAAGGCTTCAGAACCAGTAAAAATAAGTCTAGTATTGGAGGTAAAATCACCCAGCTCCCAGACTCGTAAAGACATAGACTGGGTCAACAGTTCAGCTTGGCCTCACTTTCTAAGGACTGGCTGTACAGACAAGACAGGGCGGGCCCTCAGGGAGTGAAGGAATTTAATGAGTTTGAGTAATTAGCCTGTTTTAGAGCCTTCTGCCTTGCAGACGGTTTTGTCTCAAATCCTGTGTGAAATGTGGTCACCTAGTCAGTTGGAACCTGCTCCTGACAGACCCCAGCAACTTATAGATGAACTCACTTACAGTGAACTTTCCTCATTACAATGCTAAATCCTGCACCTTGGGAGAGCTATAGTTTCATTACCATAGCATGCGTCCTATGTGGTGGCACGATGATTCCCTACATCTGTGTCACTGGGACCCCTCCTCTTCATGTGATGATGCATCTTCTCCCCTCTCGATCACTGATCACTCCATAAAGCCTTCCTGTCATTTTTTCTTAAGAGACACTGCTTTGGCAAATATTCTTAGTGCTCTTCCTACTTGCGACAAGTAATAAAACTCCTATTGATCAAAACCTGTGTTCTCAGCAACTTTTGTTACTCACCAGGCAAACAAACCTTGCTTTTTTTTTGGAGGTGGTGGGGTGGGAGGGCCTGGGAAACAAATCTGGTTGATCCAGATGGGACTATGGACTGAGCCCTGACTCGATCTCTCTTATAGGCTTGCTCACAGGCGAAGCAGCAGTCTGAGGAAGCATGAGTGGGTTAAGTTGCCTAAGTTGCCGAGAGGGAGATTGGTGAAGGGGCTCAGGGACCCCCTTCCGCCCCCACCAGGAGAGCAGAAGTGGCTGCTTGGACCTTTCATTTGGTGCAACTTTGAGGCAGTAAGTGGTGGTGGTTCTGTGAACTGACTAAAAGAGTGGTTTTGGTTTTGATTATTAGGACTCTGGGTTGTCAGGTTTAGGACCTAGCTCAAGGGATCCAGGATTGTTGGGAACGGGCAGGACTCCCCTTCAGGTCTAGGAGTTGAGAGACATCTTCATCCATTTTAACAAGGGGAAGCCCTAATATAGACGAGGAGTCTCATCTTCAAGACTTTGTCCCTGTCTGGTATATCTGTAGGCTGAATGCTTGTCACTTTTGGCAATACTTATGCATCTTTGTGACCTGAATGCATGTGAAGTCTGGATTCCCTTCCCCTTAGTCTGTGGTAATCCCTAAAATAGTGGGCTTCCATTTTCCAGCAGTCACAGAAGAACTGTTATTGATTTGAAGAGGCCTAATTTAGAATGGTGCAGTTTGGGTGGGATTATAATTCCTGGAACCAAAATACAGTGATGTAGAGTTTACATGAGCAGAGCATGCACCCTCTCCCGAAAGAACACCTTGCTTACTTGATTGATTTACATACCTCCCACCACTCAAGCTGGATCCAGAACTACTCTGGAATCTCCATGAGATCTCCAGCGAAGCTACCCAGACTGAACATGATCCAGGGAGAGGCAACCCCTATTATCCTCTCCTAGCTCCCCAGTACCTCCACTCCATGGTGGCCTGGGTGTAGTGGCAAGCTGAAAGGACCAGAAATATCCTACAGGCTAAGAGTTACAGGATTTGTGTCATCACCAATCCCCAGTGGAAGCTCCTTGGAGAGTGGAATCAGCCTTCTGGGCAAAGACCCTAGAATATGGGGAACCAGGTCTCAATATGGGGAACCAGGTCTCAATACTGGAGGAGAGCCCGTTACAGTGGCTCCTCCGGCACTGAAAACTATTTGGATGCCCATATCCATGACCAAAAAGCAAATGATATATTACCGTAATGCCATGTGGCCCCATTGTTCCCTAGGGAATCAGGAGAGATGGTCTGAACATGAGTTACTTACATACATTAGTAATACAATTCTCCAACTGGGACTTATTTTGTAAGAAACAAGGTAAATGGGATAAAATACCTTATGTATAATGTCTTATGGCCCTCTATCAACACCCAGCCTTACAGAAGAAGTGCAGGATATGTAATTGGTCAAAGGACCAAAGGGAACAACGTTGCTAATTCTAGAAGCCCCTGGAGAGGAAGAACCAGTCATGTGGGGACTTGTAGGGAAGGGAATGAGAAGAAGCCTCTCTACTTCTCCTTCAAGAGAGGTGAGGTCCTTTAGTCCTACTCAAAAACTAGAACCTTTGCCAATACAGGGAAATAACTCCCCTACTTCCTCTGGAATTAAACTCTCAGCACCTCCAGGGGAAAGCAAGGGTCTTCCTCCATACTTGCCAGGCCTTCCGAATTCTGTGGAGCTGGCTGTGGCTCCTGCTATGGCAACAGCAGGCCCCAAAATAAACAACAAAAAATCAATATAAGACCAATATATGATAGAGAAAAATCAATAAAACCCAAAGTGGGTTATTTGACAATACCAGTGAAATGTATACACCCCTTGGAAAGAGTGATCAGGTAAAAATGACAGGAGGCAAAAATAATATCAGGAATAAAAATGGAACATCATTACAGATCCTAGAACCTCCAGACATTAACAAAAGGATATTATAACATTGGATCAATCAATTTGTAACTATGAAATGGACAAATTCCTTGAAAAACAAAACTTGCCAAACCTTGGCATAAAAGGAAAACTGAAATCTGAATAGCTACTGAAAAAAATGATTTCCACAAAAGAAAGTTCAGGCCCAGATGGGTTTCACTGGTGAATTCTCCTAATCATTTAAGCAATAAACTACATTAAATTCTTCTAGAGAATAAAAAAGAAAAACCTCATCCCAACTCATTTTATGAGGCTTGCAGATGTATCCCTCTTTGCCAGGCAGCACCACTCACCACTCCCCTTCTGACTGGTGGCTGGCTTACTTCCCTCATGCCTCTGAGCAGCATATTCCCATAATGATCTGGCTGTTGTTGATCCCCATTATCACTGGGGTCACACTTTGGGTTGTGTTAGGACTGACACCTCAGTAGTCAATAGATTTGGTAGCTCAAGTTACCAGCATAACAAGTTCCCTGAGAGGGAACCCCAGAGTGGGATGGTTCCCACCCAGGCAGGTGTGTGATGGAGAGGGAGGTTTTGTTTGGGTCTATGTACCTCTTACAACTACTGATTTGTACAATGAGAAATCCAATATTAAAGGCTTACCAGTGAGCCCATGAGAGTTCAGAACTCTCAGAAGGGGAATATTCTTCACACATAACCTCACCTGGTCAGACATGCAGACCTTAATGGCAACTCTGCTCGTGGTGGAAAAGAAATCTACCATCACGGGCAAAGCTAAGGAAGAGGCAGACAAAATGTAGGCTGATAACATGGGCTACCAAATCTACTTGGCTGCTGAGGTGTCAGTCCCAACAGCCGACCCAAACTGGGACTCCAGTGATAACAGGGATCATTGTAGCAATATGCTACTCAGAGGCATGAGGGAAGTAAGCCAATCAATTGGGGAAAACTCCAGGAAACAGAACAAGACCCTAATGAAAATCCATCCCCATTCCTAGAGAGATGAGAAGTATGCCTCTGGGATTATCCCCCTTGGAACCATGACTGTGGACAATAAGGAGATAAGGCGTGCATAAGAAATATTACAGCTGTTACAGGTAGTACAGTTACCTAAAAGGTTAGTGGCGGTCCACTGCTGGGGACACCAGAGGGGAATTCTGAGGTTATAAAAGGAAATAACCTAGCAGACACAGCTGCTAAGAAGGCAGCATGAACAGTTCAAAGTTTGCAAATGACCCTGATCCCCAGATTTGTCACTCCACAAGTTTTGGCCCTACTACTCAGAAATTAGAAAAATCCAAATGGGAAAGGTATCTCCCACATTTGGATTTGGAAGGATGAGCTATCAATGACAAAGGAAGACTCCAGATTCCAGAAAACCTAGGCTGGGCTGTAATTAAATATGTCCATGAATCATCACATTTTGGTATCTGTTCTCACACTGCTGTAAAGAAATACTTGAGACTGGGTAATTTATAAAGGAAAGAGGTTTAATGGACTCACAGTTCCGCATGGCTGGGGAGGCCTCAGGAAACTTACAATCATGGCAGAAGGCAACCGGGAGGCAAGCTTAGGCTTTCTCACACGGCAGCGGCAGGAGAGAGAAGAGTGAGGAGCGAAGGGGAAAGAGCCCCTCATAAATCCATCAGATCTTGTGAGAATTCACTATCACGAGAACAGTATGGGAGAAACCTCCCCCATGATTCAATCATCTACACAGGTCTCTCCCTAGGCACGTGGGGATTACGAGGATTACAATTCAAGATGAGATTTGGGTGGGGACGCAAAGCCTAACCATATCAAAACCTTACACAATTGGTTGATGAGTGTAATAAAGGTACCCGATCCAAGTGGTCAAATAGACTAAATCTCTAACAAGTGCCACAAATATGTACAGAATAATGCTCAGACCAGGCTCTCTGTGCCTCAACTAAGGGGCGGAGGCGGGCATACCAGGAGAAGAATGGCAAATAGACTTTACAGTGATGCTCCAGGCACCTGGAAACCTCATGTACCAGCTGGTTTGTGTGGACACCTTTACTGGCTGGATAGAAGCCTTACCTTGTCACACAGAAAAGGCAAATGATGCCAGAGCTTTACTTAAAGACATCCTCTTGAAGTGTGGCTTACCTTGATTGATCCAGAGTGACAATGGAGCTGCCTTCATTTCCAAAGTTAGCCAGGGGGTATTCTCTGCCTTGGAAATCAAATGGAGACTACATGCAGACTGGAGGCCCCAGTCATCTGAAAAGGACAAAGATACTAATAGAACCATAAAGGTCACTTTAGCTAAACCATGCCAGGAAACTCATGAAAGCTGGCTGAAGTGCCTCTCCATCACACTAACATGACTTCAGCTGGCACCAAAAGGGAAAGTGAGACTTAGCCCTTTTGAATTACTATATGGAAGAGCTTACCCTGGCACAATGGAACCTTTGACATGCCCTGATGGTGAGACTGAGAGGGATGTAAAACATATTGTGTATTTAGGAAAACTAACACAAGCTCTCAATCTAATATGTGAACCTGTCTTCCAGTTCCCACTGATGTTAAGCTTCACCTATATCAACCTTGAGACTGAGGTCACCTTAAGACTTGGAAATCTAAATCACCTCAAGACCAGCTAAATCCTGTCTGGACTGGGCCCTACCCTGTGGTGATAACCACTCATTCTTCTCTTAAATTGCAGGGACTCACACCCTGGATCTGTCATTCCTGAATGAAGCCTGCACCAGCGCCCTCAGACCAGGCTTCATTAGATCCAACTTATTCCTATGAACTGGCCTCTGATCTTAAGCTCCTCTTCCAGAGAAAGGACATAGATAAGTAAAATGTGCCCTTGCAATGCTCTCGATGTATCAGGAATTTCTTCATTCTTAGAGGAATCTCTATGCTCTTTTACATTCTGTAAAAACTCTTAACTGGTGCTAAATCACCATGTAGTATATACAATGAACTTGGTCTCTCTCTACTGGTTAGTCCCTTTTATTACCATGGCCAGTGGTCTCCGGGAAGACAATACAATAGTCAGTTTTCCCCACATCACAGTGAAGGGAAATAGCCTGTTCCAATGCTGGATATGCTATAGGCACCCATGAACTTGGTCTGCCCAAGTGACAGAACTTGTGGCAATCTTCACATTTCACTTTCACCCACAGAACTGGAGCAAGCTCCCCTTCCCTGTGGTTACGCTCTTCCTGGAGAGTGGGGAAATCCCTTGCATCACCTTGACTAGCATCTCTATAGCAAATGCCACCTAGGTGTCAACCTTGCTAAATGGCTCAGCTATACAGCAAGTATGCAGAAGCTGTGCAATTCCTCCAGGGCAGACTTACTACACTGACACAGGACCAGACACAAAAGGGAGGTAACCGGTCTCCTTGAACACTACCTACCACCTGCCACCCCAATATTACTTACTGGTGTCCTGACATGAACATCACTAAAAAATATTGAGGACAGAGCAGTAAATGCAGTTCATGGTGAGGAATACCAAGCCCCAGTTTCTGGTACACCCAGGTAAACAGGCCAACACCTTATAAGAATAATGTCTCAGCTGACTGCAGGGACAGGGACCACCTGCGGGGTGGGCCGGTCTCCCTTTATGTAAAACTAATGGCACCTGGAGCCAAATAGCACCACTATTAAATGTCTTTTTTTTTTTTTTTTTTGAGACGGAGTCTTGCTCTGTCACCCAGGCTAGAGTGTAGAGGCGCAATCTCAGCTCACTGCAACCTCCGCCTCCTGGGTTCAAGCGATTCTCCTGTCTCAGCCTCCTGAGTAGCTGGGATTCCAGGTGCACACCACCACGCCTGGCTAATTTTTTTATTTTTAGTAGAGACGGGGTTTCACCATGTTGGCCAGGTTGGTCTCGAACTCCTGACCTCAAGTGATCTGCCTGCCTCGGCCTCCCCAAGTGCTGGGATTACAGGTATCAGCCACTGTGTACAGCTAAATATCTTTATCCCCAAATGAGTATGTGCCCCTCAGGGGGAATGTGTTCATCTGTGGGTCCCCCACAAATATCTACCCCACGCCTGTTTGCCTTGAGGTTCCTTCCCTTTACCCCACTTGACATCGCTCATCCCTGCACGGAGGACGTTTGGATGGAAGGACAATGTACAATTGGCCTGCGAGAGCCTCTGATATTGAGGCTGTTGAGGCGGGTCTACTACAAGTCAGGTCAAAAAGAGAAATGAGTTGGCGCTGGGCGCAGTGGCTCACGCCTGTAATCCCAGCACTTTGGGAGGCCAAAGTGGGCGGATCCCGAGGTCAGGAGATCGAGACCATCCTGGCTCGATCATGGTGAAACCCCGTCTCTACTAACAATACAAAAAATTAGCCGGGCATGGTGGTGGACGCCTGTGGTCCCAGCTACTCAGAAGGCTGAAGCAGGAGAATGGCGTGATCCCGGGAGGCAGAGCTTGCAGTGAGCTGAGATCCCGCCACTGCAATCCAGACAGGGTGACAGAGCGAGACTCCAACTCAAAAAAAAAAAAAGAGCAAGGAGTTTAATTTTGGGGGAGATGGGAGCAGCATCCAGGATGGCTGCTCTTTGGGGATTTGCTTATCATGAAACCACCGTAAAAAACTTGACTAGAAAACTTGAGTCTTTAGCATCCTCAGTTGACTCCTTGGTTACTGTGGTGCTAGGTAATGGTACAGTATTAGACAATCTTTTAGTGGAACAGGGAGGAGTGTGTGCAGTTACTAATTCCTCTTGCTGTCCCTGAGTAAACACCTCAGGGGAAATAGAAGTTGACATTAAGAAGGTCTATGCCCAAGCCTCTTGGTTACACGGCTTTTAATCCACAGGGCCATAGTTCTGACTATTTGGGAAGCTATCAAATGGGCAATACCAATTACTTGGTAATATTCTGCCCCTAGTAGAACTACTAACTTTATTGTTTGTACTACTGTTGTTTGGTCCCTGGATCTTAAATCTCTTGGTAAAATTTGTATCTTCCAGATTAGAAAAATTACAACTGCAGCTTCCAACAATACCAGCCTTTGCAGCCTATCTTGGGAGACCTCAAAACACATTTAGATTTAGTGTCTAGAGATTTTCACTCCCCTAATATCTCTGGACACGGCATCCCTAATCAGCATGAAGTTACAGAAGAAGGACCTCTCAAGAATGAGGAGTGACATATCTCCAGGGAAGGAAATTTGTAGGCCAACAGGGAGGGAATCCAGGGAGTATAGGAATTTTGTCAATTCAAGCAGTCAGCCTGTTTTACAGCCTCTTGCCTTGAAGCCAGTTTTATCCCAAACCCTGTGTGAAATGTGGTCACCTAGTTGGTTGGAACCAGCTCCTGAAAGACCCTGACAACTTACAGATGAACCCCAGTGAACTTTCCTCATGACCAAGCTAAAGCCTGCACCTCAGGAGACCTGTAGATTCATTACCATAACATGCAACCTATGTGCTGGCACCATGACTCACTGCATCTGTGCCACTGGGAACCCTCCTCTACATGCGATGATGCACCCTCTCCCCTCTCCAACACCACATAAAGTCCTCCTGTCATTTTCTCTCAGGAAACATTGCTTTGGAGAACACTCCCAGTGCCCTCCTTACTTGTGAGAAGTAATAAAACTCCTTTGGTCAAAACCTGCATTCTCATGGAAAGTCATTTGTTACTTGCCAGGGGTATAAATCCTGGTTTGTTTTTGTTTTGATAACATCCAGACAATGTTCCAAACAATCATTCATTTGATCATTCCAAACACTCATTGGGAACATACAAAACACATTGTGATTTACAGTTAAAAGACTGCTTTCTTCATATATTCTCTCCCCTGAAAATACTTGCACTGGTGGTCTTTGCTGGGAGGGGCTGAAACAGAAGCTGCCCTCAGGGAAGAGGACTGACTGAATAGGCCGGAGTCTCACCTCCAGGAGGGAAGAGGGCGGAGCTTCCCAGGTTAGGTATGATCTAGGCCTAGGATGAAGCAATTCAAAAGTGAATCCCACCACAGTTAAGAACCAGGGGCAATGATGCAGGCTCCGCTTGGGCTTCCCGCACCTGTGCAAGAACAAAAACCAAACCAAAACAAAATAAGAGGCTCAAGGTCCTCCCACACACAGGGAGGTCTGATGGCTGCAGGAGTGGCTGCACGAGGTAGTGACTCTGTGGTTTGTAGCAGGTGCTCTCAGCCCCCACAGAACTGTGCAGTGTGGGAAGCCATCCTGAGCTCTGGGGCAGAACGGACACTGAGGGAGTCCCTGGGATTGTGAGGTTGATGCCTGGATTCTTCAGCCTGCACTCAGCCAAAGGTCTCCTGGCATAGGACAAGCAGGTAGACTGCAGTTGTGAGACTCTCCACAATATGTCCCCTTCCTGCCACCTTCTGTGCGTTGACATTGCCTTGGGAACATGCCCATGGCTGGTGGCCTGGGGGAATACTGTTATAATGTGAAAGCAAGTCCATAGATTTCTGGTTTAAAGGAACCCAGTGAAGATGCTAACAAGTTCTCCTGAGGAGGTGCGCCCTGGCTGGGAATGGGAGGAGCTGGCTGGCACCTGCCACCTGGGCCTCCCAGGACCAAATCTAACTGCCCTTGGAAGGTGTCTGGATGCCACAGCCTTGGGCCTAGAGAGAATCATGCTCATCATTCCTCATCAGACTCCATCTTGCCCTGGGTTCTTTGCAGACCCAGGTTTGAGACAACAATTTGTTTCTATTCTGAATAATAATGTCTCACAAGAGGTGGAAATAGTCACATTGTTTTAGAGTTTATGTAAAGAGGGGCTTAGAGGTATTAACCCTCTCATTTTACAGGTAAATTGGCCAAAAGTGCTTCATTACCTTGCCCAGCAAGAAAGGGAAGAACTATGAGTTGACCTCATGCACCATGGGTTCTTTTCCCAGTGTCCTCTTCATGGCAGGGAGCCCAGGGGGCAGGATCTGAAAGCTCTGAACCGTGCTTGAGGGCAGGGCCTGCTCTTGGATCCAGCCTCCCAGGAAGCCTTCTCGGTGGATGACTGGCCCTTGCCAATCTTTGTACTGGGGTTTGCTGAACTTAGAGTGAGGCTGTTGAAAACCTTCCTCCATTACTTTGGGCCTTAGCTATAATTCCAGGCCACATGAAAAAAAAAAAAAAAATCCTGTTACATTCTGATCCAGTTACTGGGTTAAATGCTTTATCTCATTCATTGACTCATCTTTTTCACAAGTTGTCCTTTATGTTGTAAGTGTTGGTTTCACGTGTAATGATAAATGGTCTGAGGCTTTAATCCCAAAACCGAGTGTGGGTGGAGGAAGATCCATCAGCCAAGGCTAGTGGCCTTTCTCCCCAGCCTACACAGAGAGTCCCTGGGGGAGCTGGACTGGGGCTGAAAGGAGGCTCTGGACCCAAGACACCTCTCCTGCTGCAGTCTCTGGGTGCACCCGGTGGGCATCTAACCAGACACCGTCTCCTCAAAGCCCACAACAGTGCTCCCACTACAGCACATTGTGTTTCTAAAGATACAGGCTACATTTCCTTCTAAGAGCCCATTTCCCTCAACTGATGCATTTAGACACCTCGGTGGAGACAATGCATAGCTCCTTGCATCTCTCCAGATGGGAAAGAATTGTTTACTATGAGTTAATCTAAAGTTTTTATTTTCTAAAAGTATAAAAACACATACAAAAAGGGACTTATTCTTGAGAAATGATCATATCATTGTAACACACAGGCCATTGGACAAGGCCACTATGCAGAAAGTATTGCTCCCAAACCATTAGGAATTTTAATCACCACTTTGTTCCAGACTCTTTAGAAGTTACTATTTCTAAAATACACATGGACAAAGAATAAGCTTTATTCAACCAGACTCACAAAAGTAAGGATTCTGCTTCTCTAGGTTCATAAAATAGAATTCCAAGGCTCTGAGGAAAATAAACTTGTGTCAGTCCCAGGGAACTTTTCTCCCCAGAAGTTGATTGGTCACTCTCTGTAGAAGAAAAGAAAGGCAGGAAAGAAGTTAGATATTACTGCCATCAGAGGCAGATGCCTCTCCTCCCTGCATCCATGTCACCAAGGAGAATCAGTGTGGTCCTATTCAAATCTTGTTCATTTTACTCTGCTTCAGAAACTATGGTCGTCATATAAAAAATACTTCACGAAAGGTTCAGGAAAGAGGATCTGTAATCAATATCTATTATTTCTATAGAGACACAGATAATCCATCAGTTCCCACATACAGTAGCATAAGGAGAGGCCTGGCCCTGCGATGCTGACACACCAGACAGGTGGTGTGGTGCCTGGGGCCTCCACCTGAGGCACCCGCCTGGGTTCTGGGGCCTGCTCCAGAAGCAGCTCCCATCCCACATCAGTCTGGTGACTGACAGGGTGAGAAGGAAACAACTACAGTGAAGTATATGGCCCTTCAGGCATAGGAGCCGGTCTGGTTTCTCAGAGAATTAACTGGTAACACCAACCCTGCCCCGTGAGGTTCTTGGACTTGCAGCAACGCTGACTCTACTGGGACAATGGGCAGGGCATGGTGACAAGTTGGAGGCCTCTGACCATCCAAGTGGACAACTCTTATGCCGCAGTTACACATTTTCCAGTTTAACAGTTCTAAAGGTATCTGACTCACCAATGAGGGGCATGAAATCACCACCTGGGACTCTGGAATGGAAACCTGATAATTCTGGTATTTCTACCATGATATGTCAATGAACTCCTGTGTGTGAAATTTGGTTTCACTGCAAACGAATGCATGGAAAGGGCCTTACACCATTATGGATGGGGAGTTAAACCTGATTTGAAGTCTAATTACAGATGCCTTCTTCCAAATTTCAACACTGGTCCAGTGCATTCTAAGTTCATTCCTCAAATGCGGTTCATTCTGACTTCACACTCAACAGGCAACGTGTTTTCTCCATTTCTCTTTCCGCCAATAAACCTGATCCATCCCACTCTAGACAGAGGACCCACTGACCTTTTTATATAGCTGGGCTCGCAGCCGGTATGACTTATATTCTGATTTTCTCTTCTCTTCTTCTCTCTTTTTCTGTACTTCTGGAAGCTGCTCATAAATCCTTAGAAATGGCACCAGTGAAAGGACAGAAATCGGGGAGGTTACCAGGGTGCAGAGTCATGAGATCTCCTCTCATCATCCCTCCCTATACCTCCCACTCTCCAGGAGCTCATCCCTCTCAGAAAGGCCCTGGGCCCCGTTAGATACTCCAGCACAGAAAACCCTAGCCCGGGGCTCACAATCTGGAAGGGGAGATAAATACAAACACAATAAAATCCTAATAGTGCTTACATGTGGAAAGAAGTGGGATAAAGGGGGGAAAGGAGTGAGATAAATGAAGGAGAGCTGAACTTCTACTTTCTGCTCTACATGCAAAAATGGACTGTTTCAATATAAGATAATGAACAGCGTTACTATTGTGTTTGGAAACACAAGTGAAATTATGGAAAAGTACTAAAATGGTCACACCTATAAAATGTTCTAGAGGAGAAGAAACTTGGTCTGGTGGAAGGAGGTTCGGAAAGGCTCCAGAGAGGAAATTATAGGTAAGTTGGGTCTTAAGAATAGATAGGAGCGCTGGGTGCAGTGGCTGAAGCCTGTAAACCCAGCACTTTGGGAGGCTGAGGTGGGTGGATCACGAGGTCAGGAGTTCAAGAGCAGCCTGGCCAAGATGGTGAAAGCCCGTCTCTACTAAAACCACACACACCAAAAAAAAAAAAAAAAAATTAGGTGGGCATGGTGGCAGATGCCTGTAATCTCAGCTACTCAGGAGGCTGAGGCAGGAGAATCGCTTGAACCTGGGTGGCAGAGGTTGCACTGAGCCAAGATCAAGCCACTGCTGCACTACAGCTGGGTGATAAAGTGAGACTCCATCTCAAAAATAATAATAATAATAAAAAAATAATAATGATGGATAAGAGCAGAAAGGGAATGGGGAGAAGGACAGAAGACACTCAAGGTGGGGAAAATGAGTGTTGGTAAAAATGGACTCGAGGCTTCCCAAAAAGGAGCGTAAAGGAATAGGTGGGAAACAGATGGGGGTGAGGGTGAGGTGGGCTGCAGAGAGGATCTTGTGGCCATGTGAAAAACATGGGATCTGTTCTAGCAGGGGTTGGGTGGCAATGATTTTAAGTTGGGAGAAACACAAATGTGCATTTGATAAATGCACTCTCATTGTAAATACGTTTCCAACAAAACAACAGTTAAATAGATTATGAAGTATAATGGAATGTATATGTTACAAGTATGTTTCATGTATACCAAACAAAAGTTTCAGAATTTTTAGTGTCATAGGAAAGGTTCACAACATAATGTTGAATAAAATAAAGCAAGACACAAACCTGTATATGCAGTATGATTAACAATTTGAGGGAAAAAAGTGTGTGTTATGCAGGTCTCTGCAAAATTCCCACGCCTCCCACCAAAAATTCCCATCCTCCATTAGATGGAAGGATGATAAGTGATATTCATTTTCTTTTTTCTACTTTTCTCTATATTTCCTAAAGTTTTCTATAATCTGGAAAAAAAATCACTAGATTCATGGAGGGCTCTGCGGGAAACACATTAGAGAAGGTGAAGGTGTCTCCTGAAGGCCACTCTGGAACAAGTGCTTCCAAATAAAAGAGCTATGTTCTTTCCTCTTGAAATCTTTCCTTCTCACGGGAACCTTTAAATATCTTTGGTAGAGATAGGTGATAACAAAAGATGAGTAACACAGGCTCCAGAGACACAAATCCTTAATAGGACACAATTGAAGGCCAAACACCAGGCTCTAACTCCAGCTGTGACCCTAACTTGCTGGGTTACTTCCCCTCTCTGGGTTGTAGTTTCCTAAATATTAAGAGTTACTAGATGATATTGAAGATTCTCAGATGGAAACAGATCACTCCCTTGAAAAGAGGCCACACAAGAAATAAACATGAACAGAAGCAACCTAATGAAAATGTACCAGTTTAAAAACAGTTTAAAAAGTCTCTCCAGAAGATGGGCACTAAATCCACTCATATATTTCTCGTCGAAAGCATTGATACATTTTAGGAGATGTCCTGGCTGTCTTCCTGTAGGCAAGCTTCCTAGTCCCTTACAGCAGGGACTGCTCTTGCTGAGGTGAGAGTATTAGTAGCTGCCCCACAACAAACCCTGTATGATTTCCCCTAATTCCATTTTGTGACTGAGTTAGAATGAAGCAGTGGTTCAAAAATATTTTAGACTTAGGGCCCCCTTCACACTCCCAAATGCTGAAGATCCCAATGTAGGTTTTATCTATTGATACTGTATCAAAAATTAAAATTAAAAATTAAGCAAAACTTTATTTTTTTATTCACTTGAAATAACAATAAGCCTGTGACAGGCTAACATAAGAAACCTGTATTTTTAATGGGAAATAAAGACTTTTTGAAAACAAAAAAATGTTAGTGAGAAGAGTGGCACTGTTTACATTTTTTAGAAAACTCTTTAATGTCTGGTTTAATGGAAGACAGCTGGACTTGTATCTGCTTCTGTATTAAGTCTGCTGTCCCAACCTGCTCTGGTTAAAGTATACATTAAAAAATCCAGCTTACATATAGATTTTCCACGTACTTGGAAACGAGAGAAGTTACTGCAATACTCTTTTCAGGTAACTCTTGATCTTCTTTGATACTACACCCAAACTTGATAAGTGATAGTTTCTTTTCTTTCTTTTTTTTTTTTTGAGACAGAGTTTCGCACTTGTTGCCCAGGCTGGTGTGCAGTGGCGCGATCTTGGCTCACTGCAACCTCTGCCTCCCAGGCTCAGGCAATTCTCCTGCCTCAGCCTCCAGAGTAGCTGGGATTACAGGTACCCACCACCATGCCCAGCTAATTTTTGTAGTTTTAGTAGAGAAGTCTTTCACCATGTTGGCCAGGCTTGAACTCCTGACCTCAAGTGATCTGCCCACCTTGGACTCCCAAAGTGTTGGGATTATAGGCGTGAGCCACTGTGCCTGGCTGACAAGTGGTAGCTTCTTAAAAATTAGTTGCAAGGTGGAATCTGAAAACATGTCATAAACTTTTCCTATTCTGTTACATAAAAATCCATCAGTCTATCTTTCATTATTTGAATGAATCTTCTATCTATTCCCTGATTTTGTAACAAAAAGCAACAATCATTTGGAAAATCCTGGTCCAGGGAGTTGTGCAGATCTTCCAAATGTTGACAAATGTATTTAGATAACATGAAAAACATCACATTTGTTAATGCCACCGCTTATCTCGTCAGAAAGGTCTAAGTACTAAGAGGTCATCAAGCCCATGGAGGTGAATACAAGTTTTCTAGATTTCTATTGTTGGCTTGAAAACTCACATTTTCTTTGGCAACAGATACTGTCAGACATTTTCCTGAAGTCACAGACCCACTTCTTCATTTTCAAGAAAATGTCTGCTACAAACACAAGTCAGAATAATTGGTTTTCTGTCAGTTACTCTTTCAAGTAAAAGTCATGTTCCATGAAAAAGGCAGCTGGTTCAGCTCACGACACAAACCATGGCATAAGTGCTTTTCCTTAAAACAGTCATCATCCTTCACGGTGCAAAGGAAGTGCTTCCCGTGTACCTCCATTTACACTGCTTCCTTGTTCTTCCATCACACTCCTGGCGGGAGGCTGTGCAGGATACAATGCCTACTAGACTACTACAGTTTGGTGCCACTGTCTTGAATAGTGGTAAGACACCAGTGATTTTACTCCTCCCCATTTCTCTTGCATCATCAGTGCAAATAGCCAACACAGCAAAAAAGGCACAGAACATCCTGGTGTCATTCTGAAATTAGTTTTGAGCTTGCAAATTGCCTGAAAGGGTCTCAGCAACTTCCAGGACTCCACAGACCACTCTCTGAGAACCACTGGACTAAAGCATCCAAAGCATCCCTTTGGATTGCCTATAAGGGCTGACTAGATAGAGTAAAAACAAGATTTCAAGAGGAATGCTTAAAGTTCATGAGATAAATTATTTTAAAGTACCATTACTTCAGAAGCATTATGCCAACTAAGAAACTATTCTTATTAAAGCAAGTGTCCAATGAATGCCTAAAAAAGTCAACCTTATTCTCTGGCATTCTCATGATCAATATATGAATATCTGAAATGAATTAATTTTTAAAAATTGTATTTATTATTTTTTGAATACAGAGTTTCAGTCTGTTACCCAGGCCGGAGCGTAATGGTGTGATCACAGCTCACTGCAGTCTCAAATTCCTGGGCTTAAGAGATTCTCTCACCTAAGACTCCTGAGTAGGTAGGATTACAGAAATGTACCACCACATTCAACACTCAAATGAATTAATTAACGAGTAGCTAATGTTCGTTCATCATGGCACAAAATTCAAAAATTATAAAAAGTCAAAAAATCTACTGTTATCCTTTCCAAAGGCAATCAGTATTACCAGTTTTTTCTGTCTTCCAGAAATATTCTATGCATATAAAAGTACACACATCTACATAGGCACAAATACTTATTTTTAAAGACCACAAATGGAAACAGTGTTCACATGCTTCGAAATTTTAATCTTTTAAAAAAGTTTAACTTACTGTGTTCTGGAGAACACTGTTCTTTCTCACCCTATGGGATCAATTCCTAGAAATGGGATTGCTAGAATAAAAGATGTGGTCTAAATACATATTTAATTTTATTTCAAAATAATCTTTTTTTTTAATTTTTTTGAGATGGAGTCTCGTTCTGTCGCCCAGACTGGAGTACAGTGGCACCATCTAAGCTCACTGCAACCTCTGCCTCCCAGGTTCAAGAGATCCTCCCGGCTCAGCCTACTGAGTAGCTGGGATTACAGGCGTGTGCCTCCACACCCAGCTAATTTTTGTATTTTGAGTAGAGATGGAGTTTCACCATGTTGGCCAGGCTGGTCTCGAACTCCTAACCTCATGTGATCTGCACACCTCGGCCTCCCTAAGTGCTGGGATTACAGGCATGAGCCACCGTACCTGGCCTAAAATATTCTTTATTTACATTTAGGTTTCTAATAAAGAGGAGCCTAAGACATGCAAATTAGTGAGAAGTTTTTCATCTTTTGCATATGAGTCATTCATACCATGATGTGCTTTTTTTTTTTTCAGTGCCATAAGTGAGAAATGACTCTCACAACTTTCTCATAATGTTTAAACTTGAGTATAATACATTTATTCTGGGTGCAAGCCAGAGCTCCCGACCACTTGGTGGCCTGGTTTACACTTGTATACGTACTCTTGTTTTCTTGGTCTTACCGTTTGGACCTCTGAATCATTTCCTTCTTGCTGATAGGCTTGTTCTTCTGGATAGCCAGGAAGACTAGGCAAGAGAAGAAAGGGTTTTCAGTGGACAGTGACTTAACCCAGAGGGTGTGGTGCAAGAGCTGGGAGAGGGAGCTGCTAGGACTTGGTGCCCCTACCCTGAGCTGGCAAGACTGAGTGGGGAGCAATGACCAAGGCAAGCCAGTGTAAGACTAGGGTAACAGGGACAGCAGCCTAAGGCCCTAAGGACCTAACACTCTGTAGCAAAGACTAGGCTTTGAATTAAAAATCTGGCCGGTTTCTAAAGTTGGATAAAAGAATTAGGTAGTGCTTTGTAGTTTTCACAGCTTTCATTATTTTATCAAGATCTGCTTATCATAATTGTTAAGAATGCAGACTCCAGAGGAGCACACCTGGGTTCAAATCTTAGCTTTTACTTACTAGGTATGTCATCTTGGGAGAGGTACTTAATCTCCCTTTGATTCAGTTTTCTCACTATAAAGTAGATATATTAATAGTACCTACTGAGAGTGCTGTAAGCGCTAATGTGAACAGTGCCTGGGCAAGATGTAAGGACTATGTGTTTATTATTATTATTATTACCATCCTAAGAGGTAGGCAAGCCTGGAATCAGCCCCATCTTTTCAGGAAAAATCAATATACTTTTGGAACTAACTTGCTCACAGACACAGAGCTGGTTTACGATGCAGTGACAGGGCTTAGAGTAACTGGGCTTACTTGGATCATGAATGTGCTGACGGCTAAGTTGGGGAGATTCTGCTAGCTAAGAAGGTTTGAGTCTTGGCAAGCAAAAGGTCACTGTCTGCCCAGGTAACTGGCCTGGGCTGGCCTTTAGCAGGGCTCTGCAGCAGAGCAGCAGACCTTGCCTTCTCTATTCCACTCACAGGAAAGTGAACGGGCAGGGCGTACCTCTCTTGGGCAGCGGGCACATGCGATTCTGGTGGCCCTGCCGTTCCCTGTCAATGTTGAATAGTGCATCCCGCTCGGTCTGTAACATGCTCTGCAGCTTCCTCTCCTGGACTATTAACTTCAGGCGCTTTATCCGCTCCCCAGAGCGGGAGATGAAGTCAGGTCTGTGAAACTGAAGCGATTCCTAAAAGAAAAAAAAAAGAGAAAATGCCCAGCCTCAGATTAATGATGCAATCTACTCTCCATATGCCTGGAGACACACCACCTGCCCAAGAGGTTTGGGGAAGTCTGATTCAAATGCCGAGAAAGTATCTAGCGTTGAAGAATCCTCTGACATCTCTCTATGGGGGAGAGCTGCAGCTTGGAAACCGCAGGGATCAAAGACATGCCTTCAGCATAGGCCAGGAACTAAGACTATGGCGATTACAACTCTTTGAAATGTCAGTGCAATACAGCTCTTCCCACAGTGCTATTTTAAAGATCTATTCAGACAAATACATCATTAATAACATTTCCTTTATCCCCCAAGGGACACATCAGAAGAGACCTGGTTTCCTTTAAATCCGACATGGAGCAGAAACAGGAGCTACGGACATGGAGGAACACACATGAGGCCGCACAAGCGTCAGGCCTCCGGGCCCTCCACACACAGGGACCCACAGGCCCAATAAGCAGAGATGCAAATCCTCCCTCCTGCGGCCTTGTCCCCAGATCCCGACGGTGATGCACCATCTATGGTTAGGAGTAAGGCAGCCTTTGACAGATGATGAGAAACCCAACCCTCGTGCGTGAAAACAGGTGAACTGCGGAGGTGCTGGAAAAGAGCGTCTCAGGCCTACACCTCAGCTCACCAAGTCACAGAGCCAGCTTCTCTGCGCCTTGCCCTTCTTCTCCCTACACGTAGCATTAAAGTTAAGTCAACGTCACTGCACCTGAAGGGTTGCTCTCACAAATGGCCTCAGTAGGTCTCTGCCAGCCTCTCTGCCTGGGCCTGCCAGGTAGCCCCGACCGTCCAGGTGCTGCCCCTGACAGTTCTGCTCCCGCAGTGGCTCCCTCCAGGGTCTGGTCTTGGTTATTGGTTCAAACCAGGAGATGCCAGGGCCACAAGTGTTAGGCACGTTTTCCTTCTTTGATCTAGACTCCACATTTTCCACAGGAACAAACCAGGAAACTCCTACAGGAAACAGTTTTTAGAAGGAACACAGATTTTTCACTTTTTTACAGCCCCACCCAGCTCTTATCCAGGATATGCATATAATACAGGTTCTCAGGGGTCTCAGCTGTCAGAGGCCACAGGGTGCCCTTGAGTCTGGTTTTGCTGCAGGGATGACTGTGTAACTGCCATGCTGGACTCTGAAAACCTGACAAGGTTGTGGCTGGGGGTAGGTGGGGACCACATAGAGTCACTTGGAAACACAGAGTCAGCATCGCAGGGGACTTGAAATTCACTAGTTTCTCTACTACAAGATCTGGAATGAGAAACTGACCTTCATGGGAATTCTTCTTGTTCTTTTTTAACTTTCTGTCCTCAGGATAACCGGTAAAGAGCATTTTCTCTTCACGTTTTTCTTCTGACCAAGAAGTCACATCACTGTTCTCTTCCAATTTAGCCTCGCTGGAACTTGGAGTTGGGAAAGTTATCCCAACATCTCGAGTGTGTTTTTTGGCACCGTTCACAATCTCCAAGTTACCTGAGGGGAAGGATCATAGGTGTCTCTGGGAGTAACCTTGAGGCTGAGTTGACAGATTTATTCAAGTGAGTACGTGAACCCTTTTTAATGTTTCAAAAATACAATCCCTTTGTGTGGGATGGAGGGATGCGAAGAGAGAGGAAGAGAAAGAAGGACAGGGGAGAGTAGGAGGGAAAAAGAGGGCAAAGAAAAAAGAAAGGGTTTTATTTGTAACTCATTTTAGGTATGAGAGGGAAAGAAGAATGAATATGGGTTCAAAGGGTAAAGGATTTCAACTCTGATCCCAAGTTAGAAAGACAATAAATACTTAAGAGTCCTTTTGGTAGTCACGCAGGTAAGGAAGAGGCTGACAGAAGACAGGATTTGAGGGGAAGAAACAAATCAAGATGAAAGTTTATTTATTTTTATTTTATGAAACCAAAAGGTATAGAAAGGCAATAGCTAAAAATCCTCCTTCCCACTTCTGGTCTCCATTTATTCTGTTCACAACCCCATATGGTTCCAGAGAATTCGTTTTGCACATTTAAGCAATTCTCTTCCCTCCTTTCTTTCTTTTATTAAAAAAAATTCATATTGTAGTATGCTATACACTGTTCTGTACCTTTTCTTAAAATCAATTACATGCCTTGGAAATCTTTCCATGTTAGTACAGAGAGAGCTTCCTCATTCTATGTAGAATTTCATTCATTATCTAGACATACAATAATTTATGTAATCATTCAGCTACTGAGGAACACCTAAATTCACTTTAATCTCCTGCTATAAACAATGTTTTAGTGGTTAATTTTGTACACTATTTTGCACATATGCAAGTATATCTATAGGTTAAATTCCACATATTCATAGTATATCTATAGCAGACATTTCAAAAGTAAAAATGCTGAGTGAAAGTAATTTTGATAGGAACTTTCAAATTGCCTTTCACAGTGAATCAACTTCTACTCCCACTGAAATATACAAGGGAACCCGCTTCCCTACACTCTTGCCCACAAACTTGCCATCAAACTTGAATTTATGCCAATCTGACAAGATGAAAATTGGCAGTTGGATATAGTTTTATCTTCATGTCCTTTATTATGATTGAGGTTGAGTATCTTACATGTTTAAGAGCCATTTCAATGTATTTCAATGAAAAAGTTTAGATTCAAGTAATTACCTGCTTGTATGCCCTTGTTTAACATGTGTACATTCTGCTTGTTGCAAAAAGTAGAGTTTGAGCTCAGGAAACTACTGGCAGAAGAGGAAATAGAGTCAGAAGAAATCACATGGTTTGCTACCTAGAAAAATAAAAGAGATCTTGTTATTATTACCTGCAGTCAATGTCACAGTTATCCACAGGATAAGCAAGCCAACAAGTCCTCTTTCTAATCCAATTCAAACTGTTGAGATGCATTTGGAGGAAGCTTGAGATACTGTGAACTTGCTGCCTTGTATCTGTGATAGGGAGAATGTTGTAGGTGGATAGGACTTAAGCTGTTATAAGGTGGTAAGACAAAAAAAAGCCTGGCTATTTTCACTGGGCTTGGAAAAACTCTGAAGAGAATGCTAGCCAAACATTAGTCTGATGCATCTTCAGAATGAAATTCTGAAGTGACACCTGCACATAATTTTCATGTGAGATAAAGAGGCCTGGAGATAGCTAAAAAGAGTGATGAACTGAAGAGAGCGCTCTCCAATTAAGAGCTGACTCAAACACGTATACTAAGACAAACACCAAAGACCTACAAGGCTCGTGAGACGTCCTGATGAGTAGAGCATTGCAAAAAGTATTAGAGAGTCCCAAAGGCCTTTTAAATTACGTTCAGAGCAAGTAGAGCAATGAAGGCAATTTCAGGGATTGCAGCTGATGGTGGAATGTCGGTGGATGACAAAATGATTAACAAGATATAGCTGAACAAATACTATAGTGTAAAATAGTGCTTCTTAAACTTGTTCATTGTTAATATCTCCATCGTTAATAAGGACAGAGGGAGGCTAACCCAGAATAATGAATTGGAATCTCTAGGGGAGGGGTCTGGTAATCTATATTTTGAATAAATGTTAGGGAATTTTCTACTTAGGCAGGTCTGGTGGAGGTAAATTAAAGCCAGGGTAAGGATAGGAAACTGAGCATATCTGATCCCTTGAACTAGATAAACCATATTCCAGAGTCACAAAGAAACTTGTAACAGAATTTTGGGGAGGAAGATCTATGTTAGACACTTGAAGAAAGGAAATACTTTGATTTTCGGAAAGGTAGGCATTGCAAACTAGTGGGCTGAACACTGATGACATGTAAAATTTAGGATGCATCACGAATCAGATAATTTGCAAGGAACTGGTGAAAAAAAAGATGAGCAGATTTAAGCCAGGCTCAGTCAGGCAGGCAGAGCATGCCCTGCCAGGTTAGCCTTGTTTTCTCTAGTACATAAGGTCACTTTACTGGCTAACCAAAAGAATACATAGCATACCATACCTAGATTTGAACAAAATGCCAAAACATTTAATAGCATCTTTGAGGGCAAGATGGAGTTATATGGGTTGGATGATAATACAAGTTGATAGAATCATAACTGATTGAACCAACCTTATCCAAATATAATTTCAAAACAGATGTCTTTACTGAGTGGTACATCTTGCATTTGACAACAAATATTTACTAAGCAATTACTGTGTGCAATCACTGGGTTTGGTGCTGGCTATTCCTTCTTAAGATTTTAGACATAAATGTCTTAGATATGGAAAGCAGGAGAATTTACATACAATACTCATCAGAGAGAGGGCCTCTGTCAGGATCCCAAATAATAACAGGAATGATGGGCTAAATCAGAGCATGTTTAGTAGGGGCAATTGTAAAGTCCTGCTCATTAGGCAGGAGGAATGGCAGCAACTTTGATGCAGGGAAAAAAAAAAAAAAGCTCTGTGTCAGGATTCCAAACAGCTAGGCCAGTTTCAGGTCTTCCCTTTATTAGCGGTCTCTATTTAGGCAAGCCATAACCTCTTTGTGTCAGTTTCCCCATCTAGAAAAGGAAACGAAATCTGCATTTTAGAAATAACAGATGATTTAGATGGTAAAATATAAAACACTGATATAAAACTAGAGACTAAAATGATGTTAAAAAATATATTTTTATTTTCTCCTTAAAAAAGGGAACATAAAAAAGAAGTGACTGATATGAAATACATTATACCTTCTCTGCAGCTATAAAAAAGGGGAAGAAAGCATGTTAGGTACTAAAAAAGTATATGTAGGTGTTTGCTTTTTTATTTATAAAATGTCTCTGAAAGAAAAGAATCCAGATTGAAAGGAAGAGGTAAAACTGGTTTTATTTACAAATGACATGATTTTCTTTGTAGAAAATACTAAGGAATCCTCAAAGAACTAGAACTAATAACCAAGGTTACCCAGGTTGCAGAATATAAGATCAATAAGATAAAAAAATCAATTGTATATCTACATTCTAGCAAGTGACAACCTGAAAATAAAATTAAGAAAACTATCTCACTCACAATAGCATCAAAAAGAATAAAATATTTAGGAATAAAGTTAACAAAAGAAGTGCAAGGTTTGCACATTAAAAACTAGAAAACATTGCTGGGAGACATCAGAAGTCAATATAAATGGTGAGACACTCACCATACATGGATTGGAAGTCTCAAAATTGTTAGGATGGCAATAATCCCCAAATTAATCTGTTGATTCTACACAATCTCTATCAAAATTCCAGCAAGCATTTTTCAAGAAATCTACAAAATGATCTCAACTTTATATAGAAATGGCAAGGACCACAAGGGCCAAAGTTACTGAAAAAAAAAAAAGAAAAAAAAAAAAAAAAAAGAGGTAGAGGGCTTATATTTCCTGATTTCAAATCTTATAAAGTTACAGCAATCAAGGCATTGTGGCATTGATATAAGGACAGATCTAGATTGGCCAGGCACAGTGACTCATGCATGTAATCCCAGCACTTTGGGAGGCCAAGGCAGGCAGATGACAAACTCAGGAGTTCGAGACCAGCCTGGCCAATATGGTGAAACCCGGTCTCTACTAAAAATACAAAAATTAGCTGGGTGTGGTGGCACGCACCTGTAGTTCCAGCTACTCGGAAGGCTGAAGCAGAAGAATCGCTTGAACCCAGGAGGCAAAGGTTGCAGTGTGCCGAGATTGTGCCACTGCACTCCCGCCTTGATGACAGAGTGAGACTCCGTCTTAAGAAAAAAAAAAAAAAAAAGATACAGACATATCAATGGAACAGAATGAAAATTCCAAATGAAGCCTTACATATGTGATCAATTAGTGTTCAACAAAAGGGCCAAAGCAACTAATTGGAGAAAATAATACTCTTTTGAACAAATGATGCTGGGACAATTAAATATCCCTATGCAAAGAGATGAAGTTAGACAACACACCGTACACAAAAAATGCACTAAAAATGGATTTCAGACCTAAACATAATAATTAAAACAATAAACTTTTAATGAAAAACATAGGAGAATATCTCTATGACTTTGGTTAGGCAAACAGTTCTTGAATATAACACCCCAAGTACAATCCACAATCCATAAAAGACAAACAGTTTAAATGGGACTTCATCATTACTGTATTAAAACCATTTGCAATTCAAAAGCCACAGCCTGGGAGAAGTTACTTACAAAAAATACATCTGATAAAGGACTTGTAACCAGAGTATATAGAGAGCTCTTTCAACTCAGTAGGAAGATAACCTAATTTTAAAATGGGCAAAAAGATTTAAAAAGACACTTCATCAAAGAAGATGTAAGAGTGGCCAATAAGCACACAAAATGTTCAACATCATCAGTCATTAGGGAAATTCAAATTAAACTCACAATAAGATACCACTTCACACCCACTAGAATGGCTATAAATAAAAAGGTGGACAATAGCAAGTGTTGACAAGGAAGTGGAGAAACCGAAACCCTCACACATTGCAGGCGAGAATGTAAAATGATACAGCCACTCTGGAAAACACTTAGGCAATTTCTGATAAAGTTAAACATAAACCTATCATATGACCTACCAATTTCACTCCTGAGTAAAAACCCAGAAGAAATGAAAATGTATGCCCACACAAAACTTTTACAGAAGTATTAATAGCAGCATTCACATCCAAAAAAATCAAACAATCCAAATGTCCATCAACTGAAAGATAAGCAAAATGTGGTATATCCATAAAATGGAACACTATTCAGCAACAAAAAGGAACCACTGATGCATACTACAGCACGGATGAACCTTGAAATCATGATGTTAACAAAAAAAGGCAGATGCAAAAGACCACATCTGATGCTATATACATAAAATCTCCAGAAGAGACAGAAGGCAGATGAGAGGTTGCCTGGGGCTGGGAACAAGGATTGACTGCAAAGAGGTACAAGGGCACCTTTTGGTAACGACAGAAATGTTCTAAAACTGGATTTTGGTGATGATTGCAAAACTCTGTAAATTTACTAAAAGTTAACTGTACACTTAAAATGGATGAAATTTTATTGTATACCTCTGCGAAGGAGGGCTGGGTGCTGGGGAACAGGAGTAGGAAGGACACTCTTGATCAAATATTTTGTATCATGTGGTTGTACTGTATTACCAGTTCAAGAAATGAGAATAAACAAAAACTTGTGGGGAAGGGTGTGGCAGAAAAGATTTAAGGAGTTCAAAAGGAATAACATACGTTAGGCCACAGACATGGTCCAGTCACTGAATGGAAGGTGGTAAGTTGTGTTGGTCAATACGCTCTCACTACCTGAAGCACAACAAGCTTAGCTGAGAGGGACATATTTAAAAACAAGATACCAACAAACTTATACCCAGGAAAGCTGCCAAACTCAGAAAGGAGAGTAGATACCACAGCCCATGTGGAACGGTTCATGGAGTGAAGACCTGAGAAAAAACACATCAGGAAAGGAGGTGGGGGTCCGAGAGGCAGAGGGCTAGGTCTGTTTCCTGTGCCTTCAGAGAGCAGCTCTGGGAGCAGAGCCAGGTATTCCAATGCAAGGAGATATTGGATTTAAGTTAAAGCCTTTGATAACTGAAGCCTTAGGCAAATGGAACTGGCTGCCCCATAAGTAGCACGTGAGAGGTGGAGCTATTAGAGGGTGGCCTGTCATTTGGTGCAGATGCAGCAGAAGTGTTGATGGGAGTGGGTAGGATTCACAGGACTCCAGTGGTCCCTTCCAAGTCTGAGGTTCTGTGAACATCCTGCACTTCCAAAGGACACAAGTAGTCATGGTGTGCACCACAGGGTGTGAAAAAACACACAATTACACTGGATTATATGAGGAGCCTTGGAATGTTTCCGTTTTCATTTCAAATTCTTTTTCATTTAGTAATGCTTGCCTATAAAAAGGTAAACATTTAAAAATAGAAAAGTCTAAGAATAAATTCTCTCTCAACCCAATATAATTATCCAGCCCAGTAGGAAGATGACAATCAAAGACAGAGACAAAAACAACTGTTCACTAGGATGTGGAAAAATTGGAACCCTCACATACTGCTGGTGGGAATGTAAAATGGTGCAGTCATTTTGGAAAAGTCTGGCAGTTCCTCAAATGGTTAAACATAGAGTTGTCATATGATTAATTCCACTCCTAGGTATATACCCAAGAGAAATGAAAACAT
This sequence comes from Homo sapiens, assembly GCF_000001405.40. Classification (NCBI taxonomy): domain Eukaryota; kingdom Metazoa; phylum Chordata; class Mammalia; order Primates; family Hominidae; genus Homo; species Homo sapiens. The sequence continues at coordinate 263,562 of NW_025791766.1, read as the reverse complement.
ATGCCCTCAAAAAAACTTCTACATGAATATTCATAGCAGTTTTGTTCATAATAGACAAAAAACAGAAACAACACAAATGTCCATGAACTGATGAATAGATACAATGTGGTATATTCATAGAATGGAATGTCCTTTGGCCATTAAAAGGAATGAGCACATGCTATGAGGTGTACGAACCTTGAAAATACTATGTTAAGTGAATGAAGTCAGTCACGAAAGACTGTGATTCCATTTATATGAAAGGTCCAGAATAGGCAAATCCATAGAAACAGAAAGTCATTAGTGGTTGCCTGCAGGCTGTGGCAGAGGTGGGAGGCTGGGGAAATGAAGATTGATTGTTAATGTTTACAGGATTTTTTTGGAGGGTGTTTAAAATATTCTAAAATCAGAATACGGTGATGGTTGCACAATTCTGTGACTAAATCAAGACCCATTAAACTGTACACTTTAAACAGGTAAAGTTTACGGCATGGAAAATATGTCAAGAAAGGCATAAAATGCACTTATTTATTGTATGCCAACTGAAAAAAATGTGGACTATGAAGTCTTGTTTGGAGAAAAAAGGTTATACTCTATAGTTCTGCATCTCCTATGTTACCGAAATCAGAAAAAGATCAACCTTGGAAAGTGATAAACAGTGTTGCCTTCATGTAATAAACAACAAACAATCCTAAAAAAAGGTGGGCACTGGATGCTATAGGAGTGATGGAGCACTACTCTAAAGCTGGGCCAAGCACAAACTGTCAGAACCGTGCCATGTGATGTTGAATCCATCCACGGATTCACAATAATCACAATGCACACATCTGCACTCATGTCCCACAATTTGTGCTGAGGACCCATCATGGGATGGAACTTTTTTTTTTTTTTTTTCCTGAATCCATTTATATATGCGGTCAGTAAACCAAAACAGTTCACTTTCCTTAGTCCGTGGGAGAGTCCCACGCATCTCTAATGATCTCCTCATCCCTCAGGCTTGGGTGTGGAGTAGCCCACTGAGTCCTCTGCAATGGAGCTGACACATAAAGATTTAGGTGACTATATATTAAATGGCATTATCAGCCACCATGGGTTAGGCTTTCTCTTGTACACAATCTTGGAAGGAAATATATGCTGGCTGGCTGCTTCTGTTTTAATTTCCACTATGAGAGCAAACTCACCTGTTGCTGTCTTATACAAGAGTAACAATGGAAAGTAAATGTACCATCTCAGAGATGTTTCAGGGTTTTTGTAGTACTCTTTAGCTTAAGAACTAAATGAGACTCATTCCCGTATTTATTAAAGACATGAGACAGACCTAGAAATAAAAGCTTTTCAATTAAAAAATTACTTGTTAGGTGGAAACTGATCTTAGAAAAACATATCCAACATAGGAAAAGGGCCATGTTTTCTGATATGACCCTACACTGCTATTCTTCAGGCAGGAGGATTGGTACTGCTGGCCTTCAGCTAGCCAGGTGCCTGCTGGGAGATGCTTTTCCTTTAGAGGCATGGGTTTACGCTAATTCATTTATAATCACTCAGGCTTAGGACCAGAGACACACATTGATAAAACAGTCAGAGTCAAAATGAGAAATATAGTCTATGGCACCAAAAGACTGTCTTTTCTTGTGAAAAGTTTATAGAACTGTGTCAATCAAACAGCAAGTATATTTTCAATAAAATTTACTCATCACCAAGGGGTGACACAATGACCAAGTGTCTGTCCAAAAAATAATGCTGTGACATACATTTAATTCCTAGTGAAAAAAGGTTGCAGAAGCAGAAACTCAGGTGGTAACTATCTATTACTTACCTTTTGGAAATTAGAACTAGTTATCTATTTCTGCCAGTGTGGTTGATCAGAAAACTATGGAAAATCTTCCTCAGAAAATTAACAATGTACTGTGCCTGCATAACAGGTTCTTGAAAAATTTATTTTGGTATGTGAAGAAGTAAAGATTGCAGAGAACAAATAATTTTGAGTGAATCCAAAATTCAAACAATAGTTAAGAGAATGTATGGCTAAAATGCAGTGGAAATTATTACAGTCAATGATCATTACAACTAAGGTAAAAAAAACTCTAATGGGATAATAAAATTTCCCAGATAATGGTAGGGCTTTGGGTTGGACAGAAAGAAAATGAATCAAGAGCTAAAACACTCAATTAACTCACAGGAAAACCAGAAGGTTGACAAATGATCATACAATTTTGTAGAGGGTGATAGAGCGAGACAGCATGTTTCCCAAAGGTTTTTCTATCAGCTTTGAAAAACTACAGCCTGGAAGTAGCCCTATACATTTATTTATTCTTTGCATTCTCCCAAATATGTTTCCTCTTGGCTTTAATAACTATAAGAATTACCACCACCTTTACATGGATGACTCTAAAATCTTCATCTCACTCATGATATCCTCATGGGGTCAGATCCATCTAGCTTGTTAGATATTTTCACTTGGATGATCTGATCCAACTTCAAGTTTAATAAATAAAACTCCTTCATGTTTCAGTCAGAATTAATTTCCTCTTCAGGTCTGTCAATTTTTATAAGGTGTCCATATGTTATTTCAGTTGTTTTGAACGGAAATTTCAAAAGAACCATGCCAATTATTTACCAATTCTAACTGATTGGAGTCTAGCTTAACAAAAGAACATTAGATTTTTCTAATAAATTAATTTATTGACATTACTTTATTTAAAAATCTTTATTGGCAACTAGCTACCATTTGGAAATAAATTTATACCTATACACACAAAAATAAATTCCATGTAGATTAAAAGCTTAAGCTTAAATTAAAGCTTAAAGCTTCCATATCCCTCAAAAAGTATCAAAAGTAAAGCAGGATAATTTTTTAAAAACAAATCTTGAGGTTGGAAGATCTTTTTTAGCATGAACACAGAAATAAAGAAATACATAACAATATTATTTATTCCAATATTAACACAATGTAATTAAGCTTAAAAATCAATAGGAAGCCAGGCACAGTGGCACATGCCTGTAGTCCCAGCTACTCAGAAGGCTTAGGTGGGAAGATTGGTTGAGGCCAGGAGTTTGAGATCAGCCTGGGCAACATAGCAAGACCACATCTCTAAAAAAGAAAAAAAAGGGGCCGGGCGCGGTGGCTCACGCCTGTAATTCCAGCACTTTGGGAGGCTGTGGGCAGATCACAAGGTCAGGAGTTTCAGACCAGCCTGACCAACATGGTGAAACCCCGTCTCTACTAAAAATACAAAAAAATTAGTCAGGCGTGGTGGTGCGCACCTGTAATCCCAACTACTCAGGAGGCTGAGGCAGGAAAATCGCTTGAACCCGCAAGGTGGAGGTTGCAGTGAGCCGAGATCTTTCCACTGCACTCCAGCCTGGGTGACAGAGCGAGACATCTCAAAAAAAAAAAAAAAAAAAAAAGTAATAAAACAGAATTTAAAAAAACAGCAACTACAGTGGTCTCCAAATATGTTTACAAAAATGAATAGGAAAAAAACCTTCAGAGAAAAACAGGCAAAGGATACACAAAGGTAATTCTCAAAGTAAGAAATGTAAATGGCAAATCTGAAACCTAATAGAAATGCAATTTAAAGCATTAGCAAAATTAAAAATTATAGTTGTTAAGTTCAATTTTACTGCATTACAGTTACAGAATATGGGCTTACTTATAAAACTTCTGCTTTGAGAATTCATCAATATTTTGTCTAACGTACAATTAATTTTGTAAATATTCCATGGGTATTTGGAACAAATGTGGATGCTGTGTTTTGACAATGAAGTTTTACCAGATATTTAAATCAAGTTTTTAAATATTGTTATAAAAATTTTCCATATATTTTCTCACTCATATATATAAATCTGAGAAAAGCTTATTAAAGTATGTCACTCTGTGCTTTTGTCAATTCTATAATTATGTTTGGATGAATGAACAAACGAATGTATTCTGGTTGAAAGCACTGTAAATTATATGAAAAACTCTCTTCCCACGGAAATTAAAGAGATACTCTAGATGTTCAAGACAAGTATCATCTCATTAAAAAGAAAAAAAAAAAACACCTATCTTCCCATGGTATAGAAACTTGTTTTACTAGTGTTCTGATAAAAATTAGAAATAATTGGCAGAGAAGTAGAAATGGAAATTTTCATGCACTGCAGGTAGGAATATGAACTGGAAAGCAATTTGGTACTAATGTAGGAAATTAAGTATACGAGCCTGTAAGCCAAGAATTCCACTTCTGGGTATATATGCTAAAGACAGTTTCAGACAGACGCATAAGGGGACATGGACAAAGACAGCACTGCCATGTTCTGTGGTGCTGGGGAACTGACAGGAACCTGGGTGCTCCTGGGTGTTCATGCGTAAGTGGGTAGATGCACTCCATGGAGCATTATGTGATTAGATATACTTACAGCAATGTAGATATATACTTACAGCAATGTAGGCAGACTTTGAAAATACAAAACTTAGCCAACATAACAAAAATAATGGTACACCTTTTATATATGATGAAAGTTCATGCATACTTAAAAAATATGTATTTTGTAAGAACTCATGTAACCTGAAAGATATTTACATAAGACTGGTTTCCTATGGGGAGACAGAAATGAGGATGGCATATGGTGATAAAATTTTAAAAAGAGGGGTCATGAACTGAGGAGTACATTTAACTCAACCCTTGGCACTGGAAGTTAAAAGAAAACTGTACTTTATCATGACACAGAAACCATGTATACTAGTTCTCTAATCCTATTATTTCACTATACTTCTAGAAGGGTTCATTATGACTAGTTTGGGAAGCTCAAAATGGTCTTTTACACCCAAAATAGAAGTCAATGAGAAATTTGGGAATTCACCTTCTAAGCTTATAACTTTTTGTGTTTATCAATCTGGCTTACCTTATTCTATTATTGTTAAACAAAAACAACTTTTATGGTTTCTTATTAGAACATAATTCTTGTAAAAAATAGACAAAAATATAAAAGAAAAAATCATAATTCATATTTTTATAATAATTTCAGTTTTTTGTTCTATGTATGACATATATTTTGTTCCGGTGATACTGATATGTATACGTATATATATATACACATAGGTATGTATATTTGGATTATAATATGTATACATAGTTTTATATCTTAACTCTTTCTCTGTAAACGTATAAAAAAATTTACGCTTTGGATTTCAGGATGCTGCTTTTGAGTGTAATTTCTCTTCGTATATAGGCATGTAAAGTCTGATATGAACTCCATTTTACAAAAATATATGAAACATTAATAAACATTTAGTTGGACATAAAGCTCTCATTTTCTTTTCTCATGGAGGTCTCTCTGTTTGGTAGTTTGCTTGTGTTGTTTATTTGCCCACCTGCTGGAAACATGAGCTAATATAAATAAGGAGAGATCTAAAATACAGAGAAATCATTCACCATCTTCAGCTTTTTCTTCATAAAGGAAAACTACTGAATGACCTTTTTTCTTCACTTTTTGTACTGACAATAGTAAACTATCCCTTCTCCCCCACCAGAAGACAACCAGACACCAAGAAACAGAACTGCAGAAGGGAGACAGGAAAGAAAAAGAGTGAAAACACACAGAGAAAGCACAGAGACAAACATAGCAATAACATTAAAGAGATAAGGGTGGGGGAGGAAAGAGTAATCAGAAGAAGAATAGAGACACACAACAGACACAGTGGGAACCAGAGAGAACGAGGGTGGGGCATGTGGGGCACAAGTGCACGTGTGGGTGAGCAGAGGCAGACAGAACAGAGAAACAGACAGAGTGCAAAGAGATCATAGAGAGAGAAGAGGGCCTGGACTGCAGAGACTGCAGGGGAGACAGCACGGGGCAGAGAGAAACACAGAAAGAGCGAGTCAACAGTTTCTTTGTTATGTCCCTTCCTGGTTTTGGTATTAGGGTGATACTGGTTTCACATAATGATTTAAGGAGGATTCCCTCTTTATCTTTTGGAATTGTTTCAGTAGGATTTGTACCAATTCTTCTTTGAATGTCTGATAGAATTCAGCTGTGAATCCATCTGGTCCTGGACTTTTTTTTGTTAGCAGTTTTTTAAATTACTGTTTCAATCTCACTACTTGTTATTGGTCTGTTCGGAGTTCCTATTTCTTCCTGATTTAATATAGAAGGGTTGTATATTTCCAGGAATTTAATCATCTCCTCTAGATTTTCTAGTTTGTACATGTAAAGGTTTTCATAATAGCTTTGAATGATCTTTTGTATTTCTGTGGTATTGGTTGTAATATCTCCCATTTTGTTTCTAATTGAGTTTACTTGGATCTTCTCTCTTCTTTTCTTGGTTAATCTCACTAATGGTCTACCAATTTTGTTTATCTTTTCAAAGAACCAAAAGACCAATATCCCTGATGAACACAGATGCAAAAGTCCTCAACAAAATACCAGCTAACCAAATCCAACAGCATATCAAAAAGATAATCCACCATGGTCAAGTGGGTTTCATACCAGGGATGCAGGGATGGCTTAACATGCACAAGTCAATAAATGTGATACACCACATAAACAGAATTTAAAATAAAAATCACATGATCATCTCAAAAGATGCAGAAAAAGCATCTGGCAAAATTCAGCATCACTTTATAATTAAAACCCTCAGCAAAATCGGCATAGAAAGGACATACCTTAAGGTAATAAAAGCCATCTATGGCAAACCCACACCAAAATTATACTGAATGGGGAAAAGGTTAAAAGGATTTCCCCTGAGAACTGGAACAAGACAAGAATGCCCACTTTCATCCCTGCTATTCAACACTGTACTCGAAGTCCTAGCTAAAGCAATCAGACAAGAGAAAAAAATAAAGAGCACCCAAGCAGGTAAATAGGAAGTCAAACTGTCACTGTTCACCGATGATATGACTGTATACCTAGAAAATCCTAAAGACTCATTCAAAAAGTTCCTAGATCTGACACATGAATTCAGTAAAGTTACAGGATACAAAATCAATGTACACAAATCAGTAGCACTGCTATGCACCAACAAAGACCAAGCTGAGAAACAAATCAAGAACTCAATCCCTTTTACAACAACTGCAAAACAAACAAATAAACAAACAAACAAAAAAAAACACAAAACCTTAGGAATATACCTAACCAAGGAGGTGAAAGATCTCTACAAGGAAAATGAGAAACACACTGCTGAAAGAAATCATTGATGACACAAACAAATGGAAACCTATCCCATGCTCATGGATGGCTAGAATTAATATTGTGAAAATGACCATATTGCCAAAAGCAATCTACATATTCAATGCAATTTCCATCAAAATACCATCATCATTCTTTGCAGAACTAGAAAAAACAATCCTAAAATTCATATGGAACCAAAAAACAGCACACACAGCCGAAGCATGACTAAGCAAAAAGAACAAACCTGGAGGCCTCCTTATTACCTGACTTCAAACTATACTACAAGGGTATAGTTAACAAAACAGCATGGTACTGGTATAAAAATAGGCACCAAGACCAATGGAACAGAACACAGAACCCAGAAATAAAGCCAAATACTTACAGCCAACTGATCTTTGACAAAGCAAACAAAAATATAAAGTAAGGAAAGGACACCCTATTCAACAAATGGTCCTGGGATAATTAGCAAGCCACATATAGGAGAATGAAACTGGATCCTCATCTCTCACCCTTACAAAAAAATTAACTCAAGATGGATTAAAGACTTAAATCTAAGACCTGAAACCATAACAATTCTGTAAGATAACACTGGAAAAACTCTTGTAGACATTGACTTAGGCAAAGAGCTCACGACCAAGAACCCAAAAGTAAATGCAACAAAAAACAAAAATAAATAGATGGGCCCTGCACATCAAAAGAAATAATCAGCAAACAACCCACAAAATGGGAGAAACTATTTGCAAACCATGCATCCGACAACGGACTAATATGCAGAATCTACAAGGAACTCAAACAAATCAAGAAAAGAACAAATAATCCCAACAAAAAGTGGGCAAAGGACAAGAATAGACAATTCTCAAAAGAAGATATACAAATGGGCTAGGTGCGATGGTTCATGTCTGTAATCCCAGCATCTTGGGAGGCCGAGGCAGGTGGATCACTTGAGGTCAGGAGTTCAAGATCAGCCTGGCCAACATGGTGAAACCACTACTAAAATACAAAATACAAATACAAAAAATTAAATACTAAAAATACAAAAAATTGGCCAGGCGTGGTGGTAGGCACCTGTAATCCCGGCTACTCCAGAGGCTGAGGCAGAAGAACTGCTTGAACCCGGGATGCAGTGGTTGCAGTGAGTGGAGATTGTGCCATTGTACTCCAGCCAGGGCAACAAGAGCGAGACTCCGTCTCGGGGAAAAAAAAAAAAAAAGGCCAAGAAGTGTATGCAAAAATGATCATCATCGGCCAGGCGTGGTGGCTTATGCCTGTAATCCCAGCACTTTGGGAGGCTGAGGTAGGCAGATCACGAGGTCAGGAGATCAAGACCATCCTGGCTCAGACAGTGAAACCCCATCTCTACTAAAAATACAAAAAAATTAGCCAGACGTGGTGGCACCTGCCTGTAATCCCAGCTACTTGGGAGGCTGAGGCAGAAGAATCTCTTGAACCTGGGAAGCAGAGGTTGCAGTGAGCCAAGACCATGCCACTGCACTCTAGCCTGGGCAACAGAGTGAGACTCTGTCTCAAAAAAAAAAAAAAAAAAAGCTCATCATCATTAATTGTAAGGGAAATGCAAATTAAAACCACAATGAGATACCACATTACTCCTGCAAGAATGGCCATAAATAAAAAAATAAAAAATAAAAATAGATGTTGGTGTGGACGTGGTGAAAAGGGAATATTTTTACACTGCTGGTGGGAATGTAAACTAGTATAACCATTATGCAAAACAGTATGGAGATCCCTTAAAGAACTAAAAGTAGAACTACCATTTGATCCAGCAGTCCCACTACTGGGTATCTTCCCAGAGGAAAATATGTCATTATATGAAAAAGATACTTGCACATGCATGTTTATAGCAGCATGATTCGCAATTGCAAAAACATGGAAGCAGCCTAAATGCCTATCAACCAATGTGTAGATAAAGAAAATGTGGTACATATACACCATGGAATACTACTCAGCCATAAAAAGGAATAAAATAATGGCATTTGCAGCAATGTGGAGTTGGAGACCATTCTTCTAAGTGAGGTAACTCAGGAATGGAAAATCAAATATTGTATGTTCTCATTTATAACGGGGAGCTAAGTTATGAGGATACAAAGGAATAAGGATGATATAATGGATTTGGGAACTTAGGGGGGAAGGGTGGGAGCGGGGTGAGGAATAAAAGACTACACATTAGGTGCAGTGTATACTGCTCAGGTGATGGGTGCACCAAAATCTCAGAAATCACCAGTAAACAACTTATCCATGTAACCAAAAACCACCTGTTCCCTCCAAACTATGGAAATAATAAAGAAAGAAACAAAGCAAGCAAGCATATGAAACATTAAATACTGGTAATCCAGAAAAGAGGAGCAAAATTAACAGTTTTGAATTAAGAACTGTTAATCAAAACTTTTATATCCAACTCAGTTGTTGTTCTGGTACATAAAGGTAATAGTCTCAAATTTGCAAGAACATAAAAGATGATCACTCCTGAACATTTAACAGTCTAGTCAAACAACAGATTGAAATTAACAAACTCATAAATAGGTATGTGAAAAGACTCCTGGTAAATACTGACCCTATATTTAAATACAACTAATGTAAAATAACTCATGATCTTATAAAATGTAAGTAAAATGTTCTAATTCTTGAAACAGAAGCTAGTCAATATAGTAATACTACTACTATAAATGAGCTGAGACAAAATTCACAAAATATAACCACTATTGGTTAGTTGGGGAAAATTATGTGGGGGATAGGTGGGAAGAAGTAAAATCAGTTTCTTAATTTTTCATATAATAGAGCCAATAGATAGTTTCATATCTGACACTGACAGATTGAGAAAGTGGTTGAAGCATATTAGTTAATTAGATTACATAGTTGCTAAGTTATCAAAAAACCAACTCGAAGAAACATGCATTACATAGCAATCAACAAAAAAGATTGGAAATAGCAAGAAATCATTAAAAATGATAAGAAATCCTGAATAGCCAAAACAACTTTGAAAGACAAGAACAATGTTGGAGTATTCACACTTCCTGATTTGAAAACATATTACCAGAGGAACAGTAATCAAAATAGTGTGATATTAGTATAAAGACAAACAAGCAGACCAATGAAATAAGAAAACATGCCCAGAAATAAACTCTCGCATATATGTTCAAATGATTTTTGACGAGGGTGCCAAGACCACTCAGTGGGAAAAGGATAGCTTTCAAATGATGCTTGGATAACTGGATATCCACATGCAAAAGAATGAAATTGGACCCTTATCTTATACCATGTACAAAAATTAACTCAAAATGGGTTAAAGACCTAAATGTAAGACCTAAACCCATATAACTCTTACAGAAAAAGCTTCATGACATTCAATGTGGCAATAATTTTTTGAATATTACACCAAAATCACAGGCAACGAAAGCAAAAATAGACAAACAGGACCACACTAAACTTAAAAACTTGTACATCAGGGGACACAATCAACAGAGTGAAAGACAACCTATTGAATGGGAGAAAATATTTACAAATCATGTATCTGAGAAGGGGTTAACATACAGAAAATATAAAGCAGTCGCAACAACAACAACAAAAATCAAATACCTAACTAAAAGATGGGCAGGCCAGGTATGGTGGCTCATGCCTATAATCCCAGCACTTTCGGAGGTCAATGGGGAAAGACTGCTTGAGCCCAGGAGCTCGAGACCAGGATGGACAAAACAGTGAGACCCCACCTCTAAAAAAAAAAAAAAGTAAAAGTGGACTTGAATAGACATTTCTCTAAAGATGACATACAAATGGCCAAAAAGCATATAAAAAAATGCTCAGTATCACTAAGCATAAGAGCAATGCAAATCAAAACAGTATTACCTCACACCCATGAGGATGGCTACTATAAAAAAAAAAAACAAGTGTTGGTAAGGATGTAAAGAAATTAGAACCCTTGTACATTGTTGGTGGCATTGCAAAATGGCACAACCACTAGGGAAAACAGTGTTGAGGCTCCTCAAAAAGTTAAAAATAGAACTACTATATATGATCTGGCAATCCTTCTTCTGGGTATGTATCCCAAAGAATTGAAAGCAAGGTCTCAAAAAGACAGTTACATACCCATGTTCACAGCAGCACTATTTACCATAGCTAAAAGGTGGAAACAACCCAAATGTCCATCAATGAATAACAGAAAAACAAAATGTGGTATATGTAAACAGTAGAATATCATACAGAATTAAAAAGGGAGGAAATCCTATAACATGCTACATGGATTATATGGATGAATCTTTAAGATCTTATGCTAAGTGAAACAAGTCAGTCACAAAAAGACAAATCTGCATGATTACACTCATATGAGGTATCTAAGGTAATCATTCATAAACAGGAAGCAGAATAGTGGTTACCAGGAGCTGGGGGACGGGGACAAGGGCAGTTGTTGTTCAATGGGTATAGAGTTTCAGGTTTGCAATATGAAAAAGTTCTGGAGATTGGTTTCAACATAGTGTGAATACATTTAACATTATTGACTTGTACACTTAAGAACAGTTAAGAAGGGAATTTTTTGGTATGTGTTTTTTACCACGCACAAGAAATTCACCCCTCTCCTTACTTTGAAATGAAATTTAGTTGAACACACCTTTATTTAATAAATACATCAGAATGAAAAAAAGCCAAAATAATAAAATTTAAACCAAACATTTACAACAGTAAACTTAAATGGAATAAATTTGTTTCAAAAGAGAGACCTTCAGATTGGGTGGGAAAAAAGTTAAATTCAGATGTTACTAACACTTGAGTAAAGTGACTCAAAAGGCTAAAAGGATGGGCAAAGAGCAATAGTGCAAATGCAAATTTAAAAAAAACTGTACTGGATGAAGTAAAATCAAAGGCAAAGATATTAAAAATGTAACACAGGCTGGGCACAGTGGCTCACGCCTGTAATCCCAGCATTTTGGGAGGCCAAGGCGGACAGATCACGAGGTCAGGAGATCAAGACCATCCTGACCAACGTGGTGAAACCCTGTCTCTACTAAAATACAAAAATTAGCCAAGCATGGTGGTGCACACCTGTAGTCCCAGCTACTCGGTAGGCTGAGGCAGAAGAATCGCTTGAACCCAGGAGGCAGAGGTTGCAGTGAGCTGAGATTGTGCCACTGCACTCCAGGCTGGGCAATAGAGACTACGTCTCAAAAAAAAAAAAAAGAAAAAATAATTGATGTCACTCTAGTTATTTTGATGGTCAGAGGGACACACAACTCCACCTGGGAACGACAAGCAAAAATGGTAGAGTAGAGACCTCCAAGGGAGAAAGTGCCTTCTCTAGAAACACCAAAAAATACGGAAAACTGTCAAAGCCAACCTTATCTGAACTTTGGAAGATAGTCAAAGGTTTATAGTAACCAAGTGTTTGCTAAACCAGGAGAAAGGCCATCAGCACAAGGTAGAAGAACTTTGTAGCATTTTAACTTAGCCTTCTGCTATCCCCTTACCCAGCATGGTGGTCTTAAAGACGGCAGCCCTTGGTCCTGATGTAGGTACCTGCTCCCAAAGACAGCACGGAGTAGTACCTTGTTCCCAAGGAATTGTGTTTGTTTTGACATGTCTGAGTATTAGCCGTGGACTGACACAAGGGACCTGCCTTAGTTTCACCTAACATAACTCTCTTAGAGTGAAAAAGTAGTTTTATAGGGGAAGAATGTTCCTTGAAAATACTGAAAACCAAATGAACAAGGCACTACTGCCTGGAGCAAAAATTAACAGTTCAAGGGAAACAATAGACATACTAAAAGCAGGAAAGAAAAACTGAGAATCTTTGGGGCATAAGGGCTTGGAAAATTTCCCATGTATACCAGGGAAACTAGAAAGTGCATGCACAGAGCAAGATGCATGTTCAGAAAAGACCTGAGAAGACCAGACACTTTCACCACTGGTTGACCTTTAGGCTCAGTACAAGTAGGAAGCAAGGCTAAGGCAGAGAGTTGTGAATGGCCTGGCTAAGCATTGAAGGAGTGTCCGAATGCAGAAAATCTGCAAAGACTTGGGGAATTTTCTTTTTTCTTTTGCTTTTTTCGGCCCCAGGCATTTAAGAAAATCTCTATCAAACAAGTAGCCAGCTACTAAGCTAAAGGAACAGAAATATCACACAACAACAAAGAGTACAGTCGTTACAAACATAATTTAGAAAAGTCACTAAATAAACCAACAACTTTAACTTACAACAAGCAGTAACTACAAACCCTAGAGAAGGGGAGGAAAATCTGATGTCCAGAGTTATCACATCATAATATTCAAAATGTCAAAATTTTAACATAACATTATGAGGCATGAAAAGAAACAAGAAAGTATGGCCCATTCATGGGTTAGAGGAGAGAAATAAATAGAAATTGTCCCTTAGGAAGAACACACAGTAGACTTACTAGGCAAAAGCTTTAAATCAACTGTTTTAAATGTGCTCAAAGAGCTAAAGGAAACCATGGATAAAGAACTAAAGGAAATGAGAACAATGTCTCAACAAAGAGAATATCAATGAAGACAAAGAGGAATCAAATAGAAAATATGAAGCTGAAAAGTACAAGAGCTAAAATGAAAAATTCACTAGAGCAGTCCAATACCAGATTTGATCACACAGATGAAAGATCAGTGAACTTGAAGATAGGTGAAGATAGGTGAAATGAAATTACGTACTCTGAGGGACAGAAAGAAAACAGAATGAGATGAGTGTGGTGGTGCATGCCTTGTAGTCCCAGCTACTCGGAAAGCTGAGGCAGAAAGATTTCTTGAGCCCAGAGTTCGACGCCGCAGTGAGCTATGATTACATCACTGTACTCCAGTCTGGGATAGTGTGAAACCCTACTCTAAAAAAATAGAAAATGAAAGAAAACAGAATGAAGAAAAATGAACAGAGCTTAAGAGACTTGTAGGATACCATCAAACTTACCAACAGATGCATATTAGGAATCCCAAAAGAAGAGAGAAAGAAAGGGGCAGAAGGAATATTTGGAGAAATAATGGTTGGAAACTCCTCCAACTTGATAAGGGGAAAACATTAATCTAAACATCGAAGTAGCTCAATGAACTCTTAGTAGGATAAACTGAAAGAGAGCCACACTGAGACATGTTATAATGAAAATGTCAAAGCCAAAGACAGAGAATCTTGAAAGCAGTAAGAATAAGGGCGAGCACAGAAGGGATCCTCGGTAAAATTAATTGCTAATTTCTCACCAGAAACCATGGAAGACAATAGGCAGTGAAATGACATATTTGAAATGATGAAAGATAAAAAGTGTAAGACAAGAAATCTACCTCCAGCAAAACTTTAAGAATAAAGGAGACTTTGGGAGGCCGAGGTGGGTGGCTCACCTGAGGTCAGGAGTTCAAGACCAGCCTGGCCAACACGGTGAAACCACGTCTCTACTAAAATACAAAAATTAGCTGGGTGTGGTGGTGTGCACCTGTAATCCCAGCTACTCAGGAGGCTGAGGCAGAAGAATCACTTGAACCCGGGAGGTGGAGGTTGCAGTGAGCCAAGATCACGCCACTGTACTCCAGCCTGGGCGACAGAGTGAGACTCCATCTTAAAAAGAAAAAAAAAAGAAGGCCAGGTACAGTGGCTCATGCCTGTAATCCCAGCACTTTGGGAGGTCAAGGCAGGTGGATCACCTGAGGTCGTGAGTTTAAGACCAGCCTGGCCAACATGGTGAAACCCCATCTCTACTAAAAACACAAAAATTACCCAGGCATGGTGGCAGGCACCTGTAATCTCAGCTACTTGGGAGGTCGAGGCAGGAGAACTGCTGGAACCCGGGAGGTGGAGGTTGCAGTGAGCTTAGATTGTGCCATTGCACTACAGCCCAGGACGACTCCGTCTCAAAAAAAAAAATAAATAAAAAAAGAATAAAGGAGAAATTAAAGACATTCCCAGATAAACAAAAGTAAATTTGTTACAAGTAGACCTTCCCTATAAGGAATGATAAAGAGAGTACTCCAAGGTGAAATGAAAGGACATTTGACAATACCTTGAAGTATACATAGAAATAAGGCTTAAGGCATATACATAGAAATAAGGCATAAGAAATAAGGGTAAGACAATTACATAGGTAAAAATAAAGTCCCTATTATACTTCTGGTTTGTAACTCTTCCCTTTTCCCTTATCTGATTTAAAAAACGAATGCATAAAATAATTATAAATCTATTTTAGTGGGGACAAAATGAAGATGTAATCTGTGACTATAACAATTAAAGAGGAAGGGATGGAGATGTCTACCCACAGTTTTTGTGTATTATTAAAGTTAAGGGGAAGAATAGAGATGTATTAACAACAGTGTTTGTATATTATTGAAGCTAAGTTGGTTTTATTTCATATCAGGCTGTTACATGTTTAAGATATTAATTGTAATCCTCAATGTAACCCGTAAGAAAATAACTATGAAATGTTAAAAAAAAAATGAAAAGGGAATAAAACTGGTACACTACAAAAAATCAATTAGATACAAAGAAGGCAGTAGAAATGAAAAACAAAAAAGATATGACATAAAGAAAGCAAACAGCACGGGGAAAGTAAGTCCTTTCTTATGAAATTAAATGTAAATGGATTATACTCGCCAATTAAAAGGCAGAGAGGGCAGAATAGCTTATAAAAAATGACCATCTATGTTATGTCTAAAAGAGACTTACTTTACATCCAAAGACACAAAGAGTTAGAAATTAAAAGGATAAAAAAGGTATTCCATGCAAATAGTTACCCAAAAGAGAGCTGGGGTAGTTACCCTAATATCAGACAAAACAGACTTTACATTAAAAATTGTTACAAGAGACAAAAAGAGGATTTTGTACTGATAAAAGGATCAATCCATGAAGAGGATATAACAATTATGAACATACACACAACTGACAACAGAGCCCTAAAATATATGAAGCAAAAAACTGACAGATTTCAATGGAGAAATAGATAGTTCCACAGTAATAGCTGGAGACTTCAATAATCCACTTCTGATAGCCATAGAAAAACTGGACAAAAGACTGATAAGGAAATAGAGGACTTGAACAACATTATAAACCAGCTAGACCTAACACAATAGAGAACACTCCAAACAGCAACAGAATACACATTCGTCTTAAATGCACATAAAATTCTCAAGGACAGATCATATGCAAGGTCATAAATGAAGGATTGAAATAATACAAAATATATTCTCTGATCACAATGGAGTAAAACCAGAAATCAATAACAAAGAAAGGTGGGGAATTCACAAGTAGAAATTAAACAACACTGTCCTAAACAGTCAATGGTCAAAGAAGAAATCAGCAAACATTTTGAATGAAAAAGAAGACAAACATACCAAAACTTATGGCAAGCAATGAAGGCAGAACTTATCTACAAAAGCAAGGCTTAAAGAGACATTTATAGCTACAAATGCCTACATTAAAGAATAATCCCAAATGAATAACCTAACTTTGAATCATAAGAAATGAGAAGAAAAAAAAACATACTAAATCCAAAGCAAGCAGAATAATGTAGATTCAATGGAGATAAATGAAACAGACTTTAAAAAAAAAGATAAACAAATTTCTAGAAACACAAACTACAGAAACTGACTCAAGAAGAAACAAAATCTAAATAGACTTAAAAGACATTGAATCAGTAATGAAAAAAAATTTCCCCAAAGAAAAACACAGGGCCAGATGGCTTTACTGGTGAATTCTACCAACATTTAAAGAATTAACGTCAATCATTAACATTAATCCTTCTCAAACTCATTATCAAAAACCAAGAGGTGGGAAAACTTTCTCATTCTATAAGGCCAGTAGTACCCTGATATAAAGGCAGTAAAGATATCACAAAGAAACTATAGACAAATATTCCTTGTGAATATAGATGTAAAAAGTCCTCTTCAAATTCTAATAAACTGAATCCAGCAGCATATGAACAGAATTTTATGATCAAGTGGTATTTATCTCAGGAATGTAAAGTTGGTTCAAAATATGATTATCAATAAATATACACCATATTAACAGAATAAAAGAAAAAAACAGGCCAGGCACAATGGCTCATGCCTGTAATCCCAGCACTTTGGGGAGACTGAGGGGGGTGGATCACCTGAGGTCAGGGGTTCAAGACCAGCCTGGCCAACATGGTGAAACCCTGTCTCTACTAAAAATCCAAAAAAATAGCTGGGCATGGTGTCAGGCACCTGTAATCCCAGCTACTCGGGAGGCTGAAGCAGGAGAATTGGTTGAACCCAGGAGGCAGAGGTTGCAGTGAGCTGAGATCACGTCATTGCACTCCAGCCTGGGCAACAAGAGTGAAACTCTGTCTCAAAAAAAAAAAAAGAAAAAGAAAAAGAAAAAACTAGTAATCTCAATAGATGCTGAAGAATTTGGCAAACACCAAAATGCTTTGATGACAAAAACACTCATCAAAATAGAAAAAGAAGGGAACTTCCTCAACATGAAATCCTAGAGATCCTTAAAAATCCACACAAAAAAAGAGTTAATAAATTCAGCAAAGCTGCAAGATACAAGATCAGTATGTAAAAATTATTTATGTACCTATACATTAGCAATGAATAATCCAAAAATGAAATTAAGAAAGAAATTGCACATATGGTAGTATTAAAAACAATAAAATATTTACTAAAATTCATGAAATCTCAAGGGAAACCAAACAGCCAAAATAATTTTGAAAAAAGAACTAAGTTACAGGTTTCACACTACCTGCTTTCAAAACTCATTTTAAATACACAGTAAATCAAAACAGTGCAGTAGTGGCATAAAGAGAGATATATAGACTAACAGAATAGAGAGCCCAGATAAAAACCCTCACGTATATGGCTAAACGATTTTTGGCAAGAGTGCCAAGAACATTCAATGGGGAAAAAAAGTCTTTTCAACAAACGATGTTGAGAAAACGGGATATTCACATGCAGAAGAATGAAGGTGGACCCTTATCTTACACCATACACAAAAATTAACTCAAAATGGATCAAAGACCTAAAAGTAAAAGCTAAAATTATTAAACTCTTAAGAAGAAAACTTTCACGACACTGGATTTGGCAAATATTTCTAAGATATGACACCAAAAGCACAAAAAACAAAAAAAAAATAGCTAAATTGGACTACATCAAAATTTAAAACTTCTATATGTCAGAAGACACGGTCAGCAGAGTGACTGTGAAAGAGGCAACCTACAAAATGGGAGAAAATATTTGCAGATCATGTATCTAACAAGAGATCAATATCCAGAATATATAGAAAATCCCAACAACTCAAAAACCAAAAAATCAAACAGCCAGATTTAAAATGGCCAAATGACTTGAAAAGACATTTTTCAAAAGAAGATATACAAATGGTTAAATAAGCACATAAAAAGATGTGCAACATGAATAATCACTAGGGAAATGCAAATCAAAACCACAATGATACTAACTCACACCCAACAGGATGGTTAGTTTATATATTAAAAAATGGAAAATAAGTGTTGGCAAGGATGCAATAAAATTGAAACCCTTGTGAACTGCTGGTGCGAATATAAACTAAAGCAGTCGCTGTGGAAAAAAGGAGGAGGGTTGGAGGAACCCTTATACACTGCTGATGGGAATGCAAAATAGTGCAGGTACTATGGAATAGTCTGGCAGTTCCTCAATAAGCTAATCCACAGAATTACCATATGGCCCAGCATTTCCATTCCTAGATATATACCCAAAAGAATTGCAGACAGGTGTACACAAACGTTCTATATCAATTCTATTCACAATAACCAAAAAGTGGAAACAACCCAAATCAATAAATGAATGGATAAACAAAATGTGGTATATACATGCAACGGAATAATACTCAGCTATAAAAAGCAACGAAGTATTGATACATGTTATGTCATGGATGAATATTCAAAACACTGTGTCTAAGAGAGAGAAGCCTGATACCAAGGTCATATATTAAATGATTCCATTTATATGAAACAACCAGAATAGGAAAATCCTCAGAGACAGAAAATAGATTACTGGTTGCCGGGGGCTGGTGAGAAGAGGGAACAGAGAGTCACTGCTTAATGGGTACAGGGTTTCCACTGGGTTAATTAAAAATTTCTGGAAATAGATAGTGGTGATGGTTGTAAAACACTGTGAATATACTCAATGCCACAGAATTGTATACTTGAAAATGATCAAAACTGTAAACTTTATGTCATGTGTATTTTACTACACACACACAAACCCTCTCCTGGATCCATTTATCTATCTCCCCTATGGAACAAAAGCCTTACTCTGTACCATTCCCAATTCTTCACTTACTTTAGAAAAAAAGCATACTCTATTATTTATATATGTAAACACTGCCAAAAGCTCAATGAGGAGAAATAATATTTATAATAAATTGTCTGAACATCTCATGCCTCCCTTTCTCTAGACCAGTGGTCTCCAATTTCTTTTGATCATGTAATCTGACAAAAATTTTTTTAGCACAAGTTGTCAAAATAGATATTTATTTATATGTTATGTCACTACTGTACTCATAAAATATACACAAAAATATAAATTTTAAAAAGTTGGGGAAAATGAATATAAATTCAAATATTTTTCGTTCCATACTCCACTGAACCATTTTGCAAGCATCCTTCTTTGGAGAGCATGTCTAGTGATACTTGAAATTTTCCTCTTGGGTTAAAGCAATGGCCTACATTTATTGACCCCTTGAGATCTCCCTTATTAACACCCTAAACTAAGGAATGTGATAATGGCCTTATAGGAGGATACTCTTTGTTGCACTGTGGTGCCTTCTTTAAGAAGACAGATGAGAGAAATTTATTTTAGGTCTCTTATCAGAAATCTGTAATGTTTCTAAAAATTTTGTTCTCTTTTTATATTAAAAAGTGAATGTTATTGATCACAAAATTCTAGCAACACTAAGTGCTAGAAAACATAAAGCCAAATTTGTAGCTCTTTTCTAGCGACCACATCCACAAGGCTTATTTATCTTCCTCCTGGCTTTGACTTGTCTTTCCATTATTCACAATTCCTTATTTACTCATTTTTAAAAAATCATATTGTAGCTCACCCCAGCTTCAATTTTTCAAATCAACTCCATTCTTCAATTACAAAAAAAAAAACCCTGTATTATTTATGTGTTTGTCTGTGTGTGTGTGTTTAAAAGAACCTCAAATATATTTCCTGAAAGACAGAGAGGAATGAATTAAAAAAAAAAAACCCAAATAAACATAAACCCAGCAATATTGTTCAGGATAGAGATCATTCTAACCTCAAAGCTCCCCCATTTCAGGGGTAAACTTTGCAGACTGTGAAGGATCTAGCAGCAAAGCCCTTCATTCAAAAGGTAATTCGTAAATGAATGTTGATGAAAATAATGACAACTCACAATAGCACTGTACTACACTTTCTCACTCTTTTCCAGTTGGTAAGAAATGGTATAGAGAGGAAAGGGCAAATGGCTTGTTTTTTTCACCTGTGTGCAAAGCTTAACTAAAAAGTCCATGAAGAGGGCAGTCACATTGCCAGATGGAATCTGTAGCCATGTACCTGGATGTGTCTCCTTCTGGTGTGCTCAGAAGTCACTAGGGGATGACCTGTATTCAGCACTTTCTTGCTGTGTTTGCTCCGCTTCTCAAGGTATCTCCTCTGTTGGTTGGTGATGCTGCTATATAATTTAATTCGTCTGGGTGACAAGCATACTCTTTCATGGCCAAAAGCTTGAATCAGCCGGGCAGTGTCAATAGTGGAAACAGAGCTACTCCTTTCGTGCAGAGCCACCTCTCTATCTGTTTGGGTCAATATATCTGATTCGACAGTAGAAGTGGTGCCGGAAAGGATGTTGGTGGTAGTATCTGTGAGCAGCTCACTCTCCTCTGAGGGCCGACAATCCGAAGAAGTGTTGCTTATATAATTAAAACCTGGCTGTTTACTCAGAATATATTTATCAAATTTAATCTGTTCAATTTTAATTTGATTAGACCTCCCAGCTCGATGATGAGAAAGCACCTTGCTTTTTTTAAGCTCGCCTGTATTTTTATGGCTTTTCTCTAGGCTTTTAAACCGCTTCTTTTTCTGAAGCTTATTTCTCTGCTGTTGTCTACCACTCCATTCCTTCACACTTCGTTCCCCTCTGCTATCATCATGTGTACTTTCTGAGACCTGGAGAGAATGTGTGATTGGATTCTGAAGAATTTTAGCCAAACGATCAAGTCGGTCCACCAAGGACAGTTCTTTCCTGTCACCCAACTCAGGCTGTCTCTGTTGCCTCTGTCGCTCCCGATACTTGTTCCACAGTTCATTCAAACTCACAGTGTGCTGAGTTGTTTGCTCTGGGGTGACCTTCTGATCCCTTTGTGGATCACTAATTTGTCCATTATGTTTTGGATAATCTCTAACTTGACTTTTAGTAGTATCCATCACTTCTTTGTTTCCCAAATTCACATTGATGCTGAGGCTCTTTATTCTGGTATAATCTGTCTTAGTCTTGTCCATGTTTTGATAAGGAAGAGGAAGACACATGTGTTCTCTATGTTTGTCTGGATGATGCTGAAAGAAATCTTTCCAAGAATGTCTCATGAAAACACTCTTTCCCAAAGATTCATGGCAAATATCTTGATCACTTGGTAGGTGTACGGGATGATGAATGTAAAACTTTGCTGACCTGAAGACAGAACGGGTAGTATTTTCAAATTCTGAATGACATTCGGACTCTGAAAAGGAGAAAAAAAGATTTTGAAAGAACTTAAAAAATTAGCATTCTGTTTAGAAATACTATTCACAATTCTTTAGATACAGAACAAAGACTAAAGGAAAGAATAGTTTATATAAGGTATCAGAAAATTCACTGCCTGCACAAAAGACTGATGCCTTGTTCTTAGTAGCCTCGCTGGTACAGTAAAAGTTTAAGAGACATGAATTTTGGCCTGGGCTCTGCCACTGACCGGCTACGTGACCTGGAGGAAGGCACTTCAGTTCTCCAGATCATAAAAGCAACTGCTATATGTATTTACCACCTGTTCTGTGTAGGGTGTTATGACATATGCTCTGCATCTGTTTTTTTTTTAATTAATCCTGCTATTAAACCTGACAGATATTGGTAACCCCATATTCAGCTAAGAAACCTGACACTTCATTCTCATAGTCAGTAATTAAATGGATAAATTTTTTAAAAAACCCTTTTTACATGTTTTAGAGCCCTTTGAAATTCCTTTTCTGTGGACCATCTTGACTTTTTTTCCAAATTTTTTTTTATTGTGGTAAAAAACACATAAAATTTACCACTTTCTATCTTCATTTTTTGACATTTTTAGATGTAATATCTTACAATTTTCTATGGTTTGAATGTTTGCGTCCCTCTAAGATTCATGTTGAAACATAATCCCCAATATAATAGTATTAGGTAGGAGGTGATTAGGTCATGAAGGCTCCACCTTCATGAATGGGATTAGTGCCCTTTGGCCTGAAGGCTCCTGTTTGGCCTTTCCCTGCCTTCCACCACGTGAGGACAAAGCAACAAGACACCATTTTGGAAGCAGAGACTGGGCTCTCACCAGACACCCAATCTGCTGGTGCCTTGATCTTAGATCTGCAGAATTTTGTTACAGCAGCAGGAATGAGCTAAGACACAATCATAAACCCTAATTCTAATCTCTGATATGACATCAAAACACTGTTTTAGAGTTCTACATCATGGGCAGAAACAAAGATACACACATGCAATGATGGGATCCTTTTCACCCACACTATAGATTACTGGCAAGCAGAGTTTTCATGAAATACTCTAGGAATCCCTACGGACTTCCCCAGAGTAGAGTGGGACACACAGGGCCTGCATTTATACCTAAAGTATGTAGACTATACAATTTTAGAATTATCTAGCAACATTTAAAAATTGGGAGATTTCATTTAGATTCTACAGGTTCTTGAGATTGCAGCTTCTGCACTGAACAAATGCAAACAAATATATAATTCTAAATTAGGGGCTACAAAGAACAAAAACAAGCTGATATAAGAGAAATTTTACTGGGAAATGGTAGCTAGAGAAGAATTCTCTGAGGAGGATGAGATGTGAAGTAAAAATGAGAGCTAAACAAACAAACAGGAAGAAGAACATTCTGGGCTGAGGGATCACTTTCTGTGGATGTCCTGAGGCAGCTGCCACCTATGCCAATCCACCTGCTCCCATAACCTTTCTGGATACAGAGACAACACCACCTCTCCCATTCTTTTAAAGGCAAGTTCCTCCAATGCTGCTCTGGAACCCAACTCATCTTCCCTTCCAGACCTTGCTTCCTTTCCCTATCATATCTCTCTTCTATCTTTCAGGGTCATTTCCATTGGCTTGAAAACATCATTTAGTATGTATGTTTAGAAAATCCTCACATCTTCCTCCAGGTACTGGCCCACTTCTCTGCTCCTCTTCATAGCCAAGCTTCTAAAGAGGAACCTATTTTCCTCTCCTTTACCTCTCTCCCTACCCCAATTCCCTCTTCAAATTACTGCAGAGTACAGCCATACTTCTGGACTAAAAGTGCTCTTGCTAATATGATCAATGACCTCAATGTATGGCCAATTTCCAGGAAATGTTCTCAGTCTATATTCTCTTTCTAGGTAATCTCATCTCTCCCTGTGGCTTTTAGTACCATTTCCATGCTGTTACTTATTTTCAAATTTGCATTTCAAGCTACGATTTTTCTTGAGTTCCAACTATATACATGATATATCCACTTGGATGTCACAGCCATCTAACTGAGCTCTATTCTAGCCTCCTTGACAACTGTACCTTCCCTAGTCTTCCACATCTCTGTGAATGGCACATCATCCTACTGCCCAAGCCAAAATCTGGGAGTTATTCTTGATAGTTCCAACTCCCTCCTCTTCCTGTTCCTGTCATTAATCCTTCACCAAACAATCACACATCTATTTCTATTTCCTGTCACAATACTGCAAGTCTCTAATAGGTCTCCTGTCCCTTCTTGTACCTTTCCAATCTATTTGTCAAATAGTGGTCAAAGTAGTCTTTTTAAAATGTAAGCTGGACTTGTCATTTTCTATTTAGCAATTTTCAATGACCTTCTCTTACACTAAGAACAAAGCCCAAACTCCTTAACAAGAAGTACAAGTATACATAACTTTTCTTCCTCATTTTGTACCACTCTTCCTGATAACTATACTATAGTTGTGCTGGCCTTTCCCCTGCTTCATCAAATAGCATGAGCAAAAGCATAAAAGTAGGAAAGAACTGAGGCAATAAGGGAGAGTGCAAATATTCAGTATGTATGGCTTATTTCATTTATAAAGCAGAGGAAAGTAAGGTAGCAAAGGTTATTTGGGGCCAAATTCTACAGGGCCTGGAACACTAGGCCAAGGACTTTAAATTTTATTCTTAAAAGAAATGAAGAGCCAGTATACCATTTTGAACAGGCGAGTAACATAATTATGGCTGTATTTCAGGAAGGATACCTTGGCAACAGAATAAAGCAAAAATTTGAAGGCCTATCTAGAATTCATTAAAGCAGTAAGTAAAACAATAAGGAAATAGATAACATTGCTCTAAAATGTTTATTCCCTAATATCAGTATTTTCAATGAACATAGTCCTCCCAGCCTGGGAATGAAGTAAAATACAGAAAGGATAGTAGAAAATAAGCAAGCTGAAGGCTGGGCACGGTGGCTCAGGCCTGTAATCCCAGCACTTTGGAAGGCCAATGGGGGTGGCTTACTTGAGGTCAGGAGTTCAAGACCAGCCTGGCCAACATGGTGAAACCCCATCTCTACTAAAAATACAAAAATTAGCCAGGTGCGGTGGTGCACACGTGCAATCCCAGCTACTGTGGTGGCTGAGGAAGGAGAACTGCTTAAATCCAAAAGGTGGAGGTTGCAGTGAGTCAAGACCGTGCCACTGCACTCCAGCCTGGGCGACAGAGCGAGACTTCATCTCAAAAAAAAAAAAAAAAAAAAAAAAAAAAAAAAAAAAAGAAGCAGAAGCAGCAGCAAGCAAGCTGAATTCCTTAAGTATAAAGGGCTTTATAAAACAACAGGATTTGATAATCACCATCATCTCATGGCACTTTGTTAAGAGTAAAGGTCAAATAAGTTGAAGTAGTTATTTACTTCTGATAATGGAATTAATTTTACTCATAACATTTGCAAAATTCTCCCCGAATATATAAAAGTACATGAAAATATCATTTACTGCTTTTCATTTATTTTTAAATATTTCTTTCATACCTAGAACTGCAGACTTTTAAAAATTAAACATGCAAAATATTCAAATAATGCAGACAAATTTAATATGAACAGTAAAGTTCTCCCGGTTATCTCTGAACCTCCTAGTTCCACTTTCTGGTGATAACCAATATTAAACAAGTTTTCTTATAGAAAAATTCCTGCCAAGTAGAGTAAAACTACTTGTTCAAAGCAAGATTTTGTGCATCTACAAACATTTTATATTAAACTGATTTACTTTACCAAAATTTAACTAAATATTTAGGTTGTTTCCAATAGTTTATTCTTCCAAAGCATGCTGCAGTGAACATTTGTTTGTGCGTTTATGTGTAGCTTCATTTTATTTTTCTAGGTACAACTTTATCTGTGTATCTGTTATTCCCTTAAATGGAAGTCTGGGTGAAAAGGGAATATTTATTTCAACATTAGTTAGATATCATCCAATTGTTCCACACTTTCAAAAATGTTGCAACAAATTTGCACTTCTAATAATAGTCTTATAAGAGTACATGAATGTTTCCCCATGTACTCAACAATACTAAGGATAATCAAATCTTTTCATCTGTGCTATTGTGACAGGTAAAACAAAATTTGTGGCTTAGTACATTCTTTATTAAGACAGTTAAGTATTTCTTCATATCTTTAATGGCCATTTGCATTTCTTTTACTATAAGCTTTTTGTTCAGGTCCTTTGTTTTCCTTTTAGGCTGTCATTGATTTGTAAAAAGCTCTTTGCATAGTAAGAAAATTAGCCCCTTTTCTCAGTTTCTCAATTTTTTAAAATTGTTTTCCCATTATTCATTTATAAATTGATTTTGCATTATGATATTTTCTACCATGAAGACACTTTAATTTTAATATATACATTTATCAAATCTTTGGCTTTATGACTCCAAGATTTTGTCAGACCTTGAAAGCCTTCTTCTGCTCAAATTTATTAGAAAAGTCAGAAAACCAGAACTTTTATGATCTCTTTTTTATACTTGGATCTTTTATACTTGCATTTTGGTGACAGGAGTAAAGTAGGGCTACAACTTAAAATTCTCACGATACTCTAAATGGCTAGCAAAGCATCTTGGCATTATTTGTTGAGTAATCCATCTTTTTACAAATGGATCTGAAATGGCACCTTTATCATAGAGTAAGTGCCCACTGTATTTAAGTATTTTCACTGATGTATCAGTCTCTTGTCCCAGTAGCATCCTTTTACTATTATCACTGTATAATTCATTTAAATACCCTGTAAATTGTAATACTGTGATATAATAAATACATATTTTGCCTTAACCCTAGCTCCTGGCCAGAACTACTAAAACTCTTGTAATTTCCATTTAGGAAAACGGGATAACAGCAATAGGGGCATCTTTTATTATGACATTTGGTTTTTGTACTTGGTTCTTGAAACAGTTCAAGAGCGAGTGATAAAGGTTCAAGGAGGGTCTGTTATTCAAAACAAGTCACTTCTGATTGCACTTGAGTTTACATTAATGAGGTGAATTTTGGAAAGCCCCTTAGGATGGGGGGCCTGTTTACCAAGGGAACAACCATATGTTTAGAGGGCTGGAACTTCCAGCCCCAACCCCTGATCTCTGGGGAGGGGACAGGGACTGCAGGTTGAGCCAATCACCAATGGCCAATGATTTAATCAATATTGCCTATGTAATGGCACCTCCATAAAAACCCTAACAGACAGAGTTTGAAGAGCTTCACATCTGGTGAACACAGGAGAAGCTGGGAGGATGGCAGGCCCAGAGAGGACATGGAAGCTCTGTGCACCTTCCCTATACCTTGCCCATGTATCTCTTCATTTGGTTGTTCGTGCGTATCCTTTGAAATATCCTTCATAAAAAATCAGGAAATGTAAGAAAATGTTCCCTAAGTTTTCTGAGCCATTCGAGCAAATTACCAAACCTGAGGAGGGGGTCATGGGATTCTCCCCACCACCCCAATTTGGAGCTAGTTGGTCAGAAGTATAGGAGGCCAAGCCATGCAATTGGTATCTGAAGTGGTGGGCAGTCTTGTGGGACTGAACCCATAACCTGTGGGGACTGTGCTAAGTACAGGTTGTCAGTGTCAGAACTGCTTAACGTGAGGGGAAACCCCACACATTAGGTGTGAATACAGTAGTCCCCCTTATCTGTGGTTTTGCTTTCTAAGGTTTCATTTACCCATAGTCAACCATGGTCCAAAAATATTTAATGGAAAATTCCAGAAACAATTCATGATTTTTAAATTGCACGTCGTTGTGAGTAGTATGATGAAATCTCTTGTCATCCTGCTCCATCCCACCCTAGGATGTGAATCCTCCCTTTATCCAGCATGTCCGTACATTTACACTACCTGCCCCTTAGGCACTTCATAGCTGTCTGGGTTATCAGGGTGACTGTCATGATACTGCAGTGCCTGTGTTCAAGTAACCCTAACTGTAGTTAGTAATGGCCCCAAAGTGCAAGAGCAGTAACGCCAGCAAATTGGTTATGCCAAAGAGAAGCTGTAAAGTGTTTTCTTTAAGAAGATGAAATTTCTTATTTATCATTTATCTATCCACCTGTTTTAATGTCAGAATGCATTAATTTTTTAAAATAAACTTTTAATTTTAGAATAATTTGGATTTACAGAAAAACGGTGACAACAGTACAGATGATTACCTATACCCCATACCCAGTTTCCCCTATTAACACCTTACATTAATACAATATATTACCATGAATCAATCAATAAAGTTACATTATTATTAACCAAAGGCCATACTTTGTGTTGCCTTGTTTTGTACATACTGTTCTTTTTCTGTTCCAGGATTCTATCCAAGACACCACATTACATTTAATTATCATGTCTCCTTAGGCTTCTCTTAGGTCTGTGAGAATTTCTTAGGCATCCCTTGTTTTTCATGACTCTGACAGTTTTGAGAAGTACTGGTCAAGTATAAATGTCCTTCATTTGAGTTTGTCTCATGTTTTTCTCATTAGACTGGGGTTATGGGTTTTTGGGAAGAAGATTTCAAAGTTAAAATATATTTCTCATTACATATTAAGGGTACATACTATCAACATGACTTACCACTATTGATGATGATCTTGATGACCCGGCTGAGCCAGTGTTTGCCAGAATTCTTCACTATATAGTTATTCTTTTTCCCCCTTCCTATAAAAATACACTCTTTGGAAGGAAGTTAAGTTACTATGTGCAACCCATTAGTTAAGAGTGGGAGTTATGTTCCACCTCCCTGATGGTGGAATATCTACATACATTATTTAGAATTCTGCACAGATTTGTCATTTCCCCCCATTTATTTATTAAATCATTTACTTTTATCAGTACAGACTCATAGGTATTTATTTTATACTTTGGTTATGATCTAATACTATTGCTATACTACAGAAACTGTCCCAGCTTTAGCCACTGGGAAGTTTTTTACTTGGTCCCTGTGTTCCATTGACATATTCCCCATCCCTGTGCATTTTTTTTTCTTTACTTTCTGGCACCACAAAAGGGTTCAGGCTCATCTAATATATCTCCTGTCCCAGTCTGAGAATCAGGCATTTTGCCAAGGAATCCTGGACATTTGTAATTGTGGGTCTCATTTCTGTTTCTTGTTGTTGATACTGTTTCTACTAATAGTGCCTTGACTATGAGCTTGGTATTTTAGGGAATTTAGGGTATTTTAGGTCTGGGTTGAAGTTTCTTCAGAGAGATGTGCATTTGCATCCGAAAGGCATGTGAGTCTGCAATACCAACCTACTGCCATTGTTAAATTCTCGGCTTGAGATTTTTCAGAACACACCTGTAGTTTACTGCACTAATAAATTATACCAGTACAAAATTAATGACTGTAAATCTGTGTGAACACTAGTTTGTGGTTATAAATTCTGAGGATAAATTTTGTCTTCTTTCCCCAAACTCATTATCAAGGTTAAAACAGGCAGTTTTCTTACTGTCCCCTTCTACATGGACGTGTTTATCTTTTATTCTTATAGTAAGAGTGTAGCCCACTGGAGGCCTACTTTACATGGGAATTTCCTTTAACATTTTTCATTATGGGCGGGCCCTAAGTTTCATGTTATGTCCCCAACTTAATGGTCCCATTTGTATGAAAGTCCAGAATAGGGAAATCTACTGAGACAAAAAGTGGATCAGTATTTGCTTAAGTCTCAGGGTTTCTTTTTTGAAGTGAAGAAAATATTCTAAAATTGATTATGGTGATGGTTGATTGCACTTATCTGTGAATACAGTAAAAATCATTGAATTACATGTTTGATTTTTTTTTTTTTTTTTTTTTTGAGACGGAGTCTTGCTCTGTCGTTTGGACTGAAGTGCAGTGGCGCGATCTTGGCTCACTGTCGCCTCTGCCTCCCAGGTTCAAGTGATTCTCCTGCCTCAGCCTCCTGAATAGCTGGGATTATCGGCATGCACCGCCATGCCCGGCTATATTTTGTATTTTCAGTAGAGACGGGGTTTCGCCATGTTGACCATGCTGGTCTTGAACTCCTGATCTCAAGTGATCCACCCACCCTAGCTTCCCAAAGTGCTGGGATTATAGACATGAGCCACTGTGCCCAGCCTTACATATTTTAAATGGGTAAATTATATCTGAATAAAGCTGTATGAAAAAATTTTCTATGGTCTTTTGGAAAGGGTTTTTTTTTTAAGTTTAACCCATATAGGCTTATGCATGCATGCACACACACAGACACACACACACAGCCACACACACCCCACATCAACCTCATTACTTGTATTATTCCCAGGTGTTTTTAAACTTCACTTACAAAAAAAATTTTCATCTCCACGATCTGTCATAAGCTAATTATGTGTGTTCAAGCTCCCCAGTATTATTTTGTATTTGTCCATTTCTCTTTGAAGATTTCCTAGGGTTGTCTGTTTTATTTTTTTTCTCCCTACAAGCAAATTCCACCGTCCAATCCCCCTGTTAAGCACCTTTTGCCTCACAATCCATCCTAAGAGTTGTTTTCATATAATTCCATACCTTCATTTTTTATTTTTATTTTTTTTTTTTTTTTTTGAGATGGAGTCTCGCTCTGTCACCCAGGCTGGAGTGCAGTGGCGTGATCTCGGCTCACTGCAAGCTCTGCCGCCCAGGTTCATGCCATTCTCCTGCCTCAGCCTCCTGAGTAGCTGGGACTACAGGCGCCTGCCACCACGCCCGGCTAATTTTTTTGTATTTTTAGTAGAGACGGGGTTCCACCATGTTAGCCAGAATGGTCTTGATCTCCTGACCTCTTAATCCGCCCGCCTCAGCCTCCCAAAGTGTTGGAATTACAGGCGTGAGCCACCGCACCCTGCCCTCCTTCATTCTTTTTTAAGGCAACATAAATTTCCTTATTGATTGAGCTCCTGGTTTTCGTTTTATGAATTTTTTATGCTAAGTTATTTGATGTTTAAAGATTTATGCAAAATATCCTCATTGTGGATTGCAAATCAGTATAAAAATATACCTCTTCAATTCCTGCAAAACTTTTGGTGAATTTAACCTCATCTATATTAATGTCCCCAAATTTCTTTTTGATACATCTCTAAGTTTTCTTTTTGCTTTCCACCTTTCTCAGTAATTTTACTTTTGATATGTTTGTTATATAGCATGGAACTGGGTTTGTTTTTTAATATAATCCAAGAAGTTTTTTTTTTTTTAATATAGGTGAATTTAGTTTACTTATATATAGACTTGCATGCTTTGCTGTCTTTCATTTTATGGCAATTTTTTGTTTTTGTTACAAATTTACTGTTTTCTTTTTCCCTCCCTTTACCTCCAAGCTAACCTGTTTTTCTAAATATTTTGGATGTTTTATAGTTTAATTTTAACTCTTTTAGGGGTAAATTTTATAATTTTCTTTTTTTTTGAGATGGAGTTTCACTCTTGTTGCCCAGGTTGGAGTGCAATGGCATGATCTCAGCTCACTGCAACCTCTGTCTCCCGGAATCAAGCGCTTCTCCTGCCTCAGCCTTCTGAGTAGCTGGGATTACAGGCATGCACCACCATGCCCGGCTAATTTTGTATTTTTAATAGATATGGGGATCCTCCATGTTGGTCAGGCTGGTCTCAAACTCCTGACCTCAGGTGATCCACCCACCTCAGCCTCCCAAAGTGCTGGAATTACAGGCATGAGCCACCGCGTCTGGCCTATAATTTTCAACCCTATAATTACTTACACATGTATTTTTT
The DNA here is from genome assembly GCF_000001405.40 of Homo sapiens. Lineage (NCBI taxonomy): Eukaryota > Metazoa > Chordata > Mammalia > Primates > Hominidae > Homo > Homo sapiens. Next base: position 232,062 of record NW_025791766.1, on the reverse strand, counting down.
GATTTTACAACTTTAAAGGTGAAGTTTGCTCATTTATACCTCCTTTAACCTCCCTGTCCTCTGCCTGTCCCCCTGTCTTTTAGCATTTTCTACTTGTTTTTTTCTGTATGGAGGCCTGCATGATTCATTCTTTTTCTTTAAAGTTCAGTACTATCGCAAACATACATCTCAGTATTGAACACTATATACAAAATTTTCCTAGGACTTGGTACGTCCTTTTAAATTACAGGTTCAAGCCAGGTGTGGTAGCATGTGCCTACAGTCCCAGCTACTCTACAGGCTGAGGTGGGAAGATCACTTGAGCCCAGGAGTTTGAGGCTACAGTTAGCTATGATCACACCACTGCACTCCAGCCTGGGCAACAGAATGAGACTCCATGTCTAAAAATACATACATACATACATACATACATACATACATACAATTGTAAGTTCCATTCTTCCTTATATCTTTATTTTTCTATTATCTTCTTTAGAGGCAACAACAGATATCATTGTGTTGGATTTTCACTGTCAGCCTTCAAATTCCATCATTTTTTTTTAATTGCTTTCATCTCTTTCTTCTAATTGGTACTTTTTTTTCATTTCATTTTGTTCTATCCCCTAAATCTCCCTTTTCATTTCATTATTCTATCAATTTTTATTTCATATACTTCATGTCTTCTAAAATTATTCAGAGTGTAAAACATTTAGAAAAATTTTTCTTATCTTCTAGAGTATGCTTTTACAGATTATATTTCCATCTTTCTTTTGCAAGCTATGTCTCCCACACTAACCCCTGCAAAGTTGCAATGTTATATTTCTTCATCTTATGTATTATTTTTGTGTGTGACAAATAGTATGACATTAAATTAACCACCTTAGCCATTTTTAAGTGTACAGTTCAGTAGTGTTAAGTATATTCACATTGTTGTGCAACAATCTCTAACTCTTTCATCTTGTAACACTGAAACCCTACACCTACTAAACACTAATTCTCTGTCCACCCTCTCACAAGCCTGGGCAATCACTATTCTACTTTCTGTTTCTATGATTTCAGCTACTTTAGATATTTCATACTGAGGTGGGAAATTAAAGAAAAATAAAATTAAAAAGAAAGAGAAATAAGTTTTCCTGCATTAGGCTGACTTGTCCCAGAGGCAGCAACAGGCACAGCCCAGACCCAGGAAAAGTCTTGATAATATTATGTAATGTGCTCTGGAGACTCTCCCAGCACTCCTTCAACACAGGGAGAAGAAAAAACAAATTTTCCTTTGTTTTATGGAATGAGTTTATAGATTCCTGTTCTCTGTAACTAGTGACTTCAAGTATTCTGTTTTATCTAAGAAGTACAATGAAGGTCATGAGAAGCCTGAGTAGGCCTGAACTACAGCTGCCTGGGCACCATAGTGAAGGTTATGGGATAAGCCCGTGCCTAGACAAACCTAGATAATGGACATCTGGGTTGCATAGCAACGGTTATGTGCAATCCTGAGTTATGAACCTGTTACAATTTGATTAACTGTCTTTGTCCTGCTTCTGTATTCCCGCTTTCACGCCACTGTAAGCTTGCTTCAAGCTAGCCCATCCCCTTTTGTGAAGTGTGTATAAAAGTCAAGTGCTGTCTTTGTTCTGGGCCCAGCCTTTGGACGTGAGTCTGCTGGGCCTGAGTGCACTCAATAAAAGACTCTCCTGTTTAAACCCAAGGTCTCTCTCATCCTCCTAAATCCCTCAACATTTGCGAGAAACCATATGGTATTTATCTTTTTGTGACTGATTTATTTTACTTAGTATAATGTTCTTGAGGTTCACCTACCTTGTAGTATGTGATAGGATTTCCTTCTTTCTTAAGGCTGCACAATACAAATATGTATGTAACATGCTTTCTTTATTGACAAATAATTCCCATTTTCTTAATACATTCATCTGTTGATGGACATGTGGGTTGCTTCCACCTCTTGATTATAAATAACGCTGCAATAAACATGAGTATACAGGTAGCTTTTTGAAGTCCTGTTTTGAATTCTTTAGGTTATATGCCCAGCAGTGGCAGTGGGATTGCGGGATCATATACTAATTCTTTTTTATTATTCTGAGGAACCTCCATAATATTTTCCATAATAGCTACATCATTTTACATTCCCACCAATGGTGAACAAGGGTTTCAATTTCCTTGCATCCTCACGAACATTTGCTATTTTTTCTTTTGATAGTGGTCATCCTAACAGGTGTGAGTGATATCTCATTGTGGTTTTGATTTGCATCTCTCTTATGATTAGAGAGATTGGGCATCTTTTTATATGCTTGATATGGCATTTGTATATCTTCTATTGTCTATTCAAGTCCTTTGCTCATTTTAAAATAAGTTACGTGTTTTTAAAAATAAGTTGTTTGGGTTTTTCTTGCTATTGAGTTGCATAAGTTCTTTATATATTCTGAATACTAATCCCTTATCAGATCCATGATTTGCAAATATCTTCTCTCATTCTGTAGAATGCCTATTCACACTCTTGTCTACTTTGTCATGCAGAAGTTTTCAAGTTTGATGTAGTTTCATTGGTCTATTTTTGCTTTTGTTGTCTGTGTTTTTGGTGTCACATCTGAGAAATCACTGCCAAGTTCAATGTCCTGAAGTGTTCCCCTTATGTTTTCTTCTGGGAGTTTTATGGTTTTAAGGTCTTACATGTATGTCACTAACCCTTTTTGAGTTAACTTTTGTATGTGGTGTAAAGAAAAGGTCCACCTTTATTCTTTTAAATGTGGATATCTAGTTTTCCCAACACCATTTGTTGAAGAGACTATCCTTTCCCCATTGTGTAGTCTTGGCTATTGTCAAAAAATCATTTATTTTGTATATTCTTGATGTAAGCAGTTGAACCCAGACTATTTCCAAAATCCAGTATGGGTAGTTTAGCTCCTTGACTCTTTTCTCTCCTTATGTAGGCTGTTCCATCTTCCTCTAAGAGGTAAAGCTTGATGGCTAGGTAGTAATGTCTTGTGTTCTATACGCTTTTATGTCAGAAAAAGAGACCCATGGACAAACAAAAATAAATGTGATTTTATTGTAATTTTTTAAAAGTTTGTATTGATGGTCTCACTATCTTTGCTATAGTCTTCTGGAAGGCCTTTAAGGTTGTCTCTGGGGACTGAGACAAGATACTTCACTTCTAAAACTATCAGCCTTAGGTATTTATTTATAATCCTGTTTCTAAGTTGCTAATATCTTTTCCAAAAAGTAACAATTACTTTTTGGAAATCTATATATATATATAGTAACCTAATAGTAGCATCAAAGTACTTTACACAAGAAAGTTTTAAAAAAAGAAAAGGAATTTTTGTTTAATCATGAGGCTATATTCTCATCAGAATGAAATGGAAACACTAACACTGACCCTCACATACACACAAAGACACACACACTCATACACAACCCAATCCCATTACCTTCAATATTGATCTGTAGGGATTCTTTATTGTTTGGCCAGGCTTCCTCGGGAACTGTCTTCTTCCTATGGATCTCCTCTTTCTGTGTAATGGCTTTAGTGTCTGGCAAGTTCTTCATTTCTGGGTCTCCTACTTGAGCTGAGTGCTCTGCAGCAGCAGCAGCACTGGAATCTACGAAAGGGAAATTAACACACTATACAGACAGGAACTTGACATAAAAGATTTTTAAATGTCTCTCAAGTACGTATTATGTGAAAGGCTTTGTTACTGATATTGAAGAAAAAAGATGACTCAGAAATGCGTTTAGAAAATAATTGAAAATTGGGGCAAAAAATCACATACGTAAACAGATATACTGTAAGAAACAGTCAGAAAAAGAGGTAGCGGTATTCAAAGAAAGAAAAACTAATTGCAGGTGGGAGTACCATAGAACTCTAGACAACTGATTTTGGCATTAGAAGAGAGCTAAGATGGGATACACATTAAGATGGAAAAAAAAGGTGACTACATAACACAAGAATGGTGTCAGGAAAGTAACTTAGCATCTAAGAAACAGAGCAAGTATATAGCATTTGATTATAGAATTTATAAGGAAAAGAGGTGAGAACTAGTGTTAGAAAGTTGTTTGAGAGTGGACTCTACAGTTCTAGAAGACAGTGCTAAAAGAGTTTAGATTTTATCCTTACAGGCAATGAAACACTAAAGTTTTTGATTAGGAGATTAACATGATCAAAACTGTTTTTGGAACATTCATTTAGTAATAGTAAAATGGGGTAAAATTCAGAAGTGTTGCCCAGAATACAATCTAACCTTTTTAAACAAGCAATACCTAAAGAAGAGAAGCAGCTAATCATGTTCTAAAATGTTTTAGTTTACAATTGTGGCAGAAACTATCAATACTATCTGTCCTCTAATATCCACTTTCCTTTTCCTCTAAACAGAACCCTAACTTTAGCTGGGCACATTGTTATTAGAATAACAACTCAATTTCCCAGCTTCCCTGGTACATGTGACCATGTGTCTAAGTCTGGCCAATAGAATGCAAAAGGAATGGTATATATAGCTTCTCAGAAGTATCCTTAAAGGAAGGAATGTGCTTTTTCCTTTCCTTTCTTCCTGCTGGTTGCAATATGGGCTGATGGCTACAGCTTAAGAATGAAGGCCAAAAATGTTAGAGTAACAAGAGAGCAACAGCTTTGTTCCGATACTCTGGAGTACCAGGTCAACTCTGGATGCTTACCTCTGGAGTTTTACAAAAAAGAGAAAGAGTTTTCTGTCTTCTTCAAGCCTATGTTATTTTGCTTTTGTTTTCCTCTCTGAGTCAAAACTAATCCTAACGTAAATACACTATTAGGGTTATTTAAATCAGCATAATCCCTTTGAAGTAAAGTAACTGATAGGTAGGAAGTAAACAAGCTGAATTCCTAAATAAAGGATTATGTACAAAAATGGTATTAGAGGGTCCGTGTCTCACAGAATTGAGAGATTTTATCAGCGGAGGTAAAAAGTCCATTAAATGAATTTCTGGAAATTAGATTAATTTGTTTACTATATTCAAAACCCTCCAGAAATATCACAAAGAACTTTAAATATGTTAATTTTACCTGCCAAAGTATATAAAAAATATAGCTAAACATACCTTAACTATTTCATATATACATGAGATAGAAGAGAGCTGAAGACAGCAAGAAGAAAATAGAGAATATATTTCTGTTTCTGTTCTTAAGGGAATAGTCTCATTTTAGAAGACCAGAAGAAAATAATACGCAGACAATCCAGTTTAGCTACCTGCAGTATCTTTCTGCAAAGATTCTTTTTCTTTAGCCTGGGCAGCCTCAGTCACTGCCCTTGTACTGTGAATCTCTTGCTGTTTTTTGTCTGAGAGGTTCTCATCCCCAGTGATTAGCACTTGAACTGAGGCATCTGGAATAACGACATCATTTGATTTCAGAAAAGGAAAGATAATAAACACAACAGACAAGTAATCCTCCCCCACAATTACAAACAAAACCCCAAACCCATTTACATATTAGGAAAAAAGTACCTCTTAGGCTCCACCTGTGTAAAAACTGTGACATGAATTGAAAAATTTTTCATACTTTACTGTGTACAACAACAGTTTAAATAAAATAACATTCTAAAGCCGGGCGGGGTGGCTCACACCTGTAATCCCAGCACTTTGGGAGGCTGAGGCGGGTGGATCACTTGGGGTCAGGAGTTCGAGACCAGCCTGGCCAACACGGTGAAACCCCAACTCTACTATAAATACAAAAACTAGCAGGCGTCGTGGTGCACGCCTGTAGTCCCAGCTACTCAGGAGGCTGATGCAGGAGAATCACTTGAACCCAGGAGGTGGAGGCTGCAGTGAGCTGAGACTGTGCCACTGCACTCCAGCCGGGGCGACAGTGAGACTCTGTCTCAAAAAAATAAAATAAAATAAAAACATTCTAAAAAAAATCTGTTCCTTGATGGTTTGATGCAACAGTAAAAAAAAAAACAAAAAAAAAAAGGAAAGATCAGGTATGTTTTTTCAAAGGAAAAAAGATGTGAACAATGCTTTCAAGTTCTTTGGCCTATTCAAAGTTTTTACCACTTATGGAGTCAATTTTTATATTTCATATAATCCAAGAAAAGCACTTTTATCATCTAGATTTTAAATACAGCATTCTCATACAATTTTTTAAAAATTTCATGCAGTTATAGCCTTTTAAACTTGTCTAATACTATTTCTCTTTTCTACTTTTTTGATCATTTTTGATTTTTTTATCTGTAAGTATATTTTTCAACAAAGAAATCAGAAAGGCAATAGAGATTGCTAAAAATGCAAAGAACCAGTTAACTCTTGCTACCTCTTTTAAATTCACACATTTTTCTTACTTCTTATTACTTCAATCCTCCTAATCTCTTTTCTCTAAATGTCTTCTGAAATTTTTAGATCATTAAAAAATGTTTTAATGTTAATAAAATATTTCAGGCATACCAAAAATATAGGCAACAAAATGAACACCCAAGTATTTACCATAGAGCTTAAGAAATAAAATATTACAAATATAATGTTTCTTGTGTAAAGTGTTCCCAATGATGCCATTCTCACTTCTCAGTAGCAGCCTTTACACCAAATTTACAGTTTATCAATATCAAGGATGTTTTGTAATTCTTTACCACATTGCATATATTAACCAACAGTGTACAGCATTGTTTTGCAAGTTTCTTTAAACCTTATACGAAGGGTACAATACTGTCTGTACCTTTACGCACCATGACTTTTTCACTCAATATTATGATTTTGAGAGTTAGTCAATTAATATATGTCTTTGATTCTGAACGTTATGTATTATTCTACTGTATTAATATATACGAATACACCTCTGTTGATCAACTTAAGGCTATTTCCTATTTTGAAAAGCACTGCAATGAACATTCCTGTGAAATGTCTTTGCAGGTGGTGTGCATTATAAATATCTTCTCCCAGGCTGTTTCATGTCTTTTAATTGTTTGATATCGTTTAGGCAAAAAGTTTTTCAGTTTAATAATGGCATATTTATTATATTTTCCCTTTAGGGTAGGTGCTTTGCGTGTCCTGATTAAGAAATCTTTTATTATCACATGGTCATAAGGACAGACCATCTAAATTCTAAAAACTTAGTTATCCCATTTACTTTTAATATGCCTGGTATACTATACATTTCTGTTTAGTGTGTGGCAGTGATTTATCTGATTTTATTTTTTCCAGATATATATTCATTGGTTCAAACTCTATTGAATAGTTCCTCTTCATCCTTTCTCCACAGATTGTTATGCCATCTCTGTGTATGTTAGGTTTCCACATTCATGGATATGTTTCTGGGTCACCATTCTGTTTCATTTTTCTTTCTGTTTATTCCTTTGTAAATGATGTCTTAAATAAGCTACACATGTAATAAGTCTTGATGTCTGGTATGGCAAGATCCCTTATCTTATTCTTTAAATATACGTTTTTTGATTTTCCATAAATATTTTAGAATCAGCCTGTCAAGTTCCACGAAAAATCCTACTGGAATTCTGAGTAGCAATGCATTTAATTTAGAAATTAATTTAGTGACATCTTTATTATTACAATTGTGTAATTTTCCAACTATTTAGGTCTTAATATATTTCAATGTAGTTTTATAATTTTCTCTTAAAATAGTTTTACATGCCCTTTAAGATTCATTCCTAAGTACCGTATTGTTTATCTTACAGACCCTTTTAGATTCATTTCTAAGTACCATATTGCTTTTTAAAATATCTTTTTAATTGTACAGTGGAAAATATGGGGGAAAACGTGCACATAAAGAGTTCAGTGAATTACAAAAAGCAAGTGTATATAACCTTACCCAGGTTAGGAAATAAAATCTGGCTAGAAACTTACACGCTCCCCTCATTCTTCCTTCCATCTCCCCCATGCTGAGGGTAACACCTGATTTTAAATACGACAGGCTGGAGTGCAGTGGCGTGATCTTGGCTCACTGCAAGCTCCGCCTCCCAGGTTCATGCCATTCTCCTACATCAGCCTCCTGAGTAGCTGGGACTACAGGCGCCCGCCACCACGCCCGGCTAATTTTTTTTTTTTTTGTATTTTTAGTAGAGACGGGGTTTCACCGTGTTAGCCAGGATGGTCTCGATCTCCTGACCTCGTGATCCACCCGCCTTGGCCCCCCAAACTGCTGGGATTTCAGGTATGAGCCACCACGCTCAGCCCTACTTTCTCTATTTCCTGGTCTTTCACATTTCTGAAATGTACTGTTGAATTTACCTACACATTCCTGTAATTTTTCCTGAATATATTTGAGAATATACATATAAGCTCACAATTTTATCTTTCCTGGTATATTTGACCCTTTTATTACTATGAGATAAACTCTTGTATCTACCTTTAATTTTTTTTTTTTTGTCCTGGAATTATATTTTGTCCATATCAACACTAGCTTTTCTTTAGTCAGTATTTGCCAAATGTATTTTTTTCTTCTTACTTTTTTGAGGTGAAGGACAATATAAATTCTGATTTAATAAAAATAACAATGTATATGTTTTAAAAGTCAAATAGTTTCACGAGGCTTACAAGAAAAGTCAGCAGTTCCCTCTCCTATCCACTACAGATCCCCAATTTCTAAAGGCTACCATTTTCAACTTCTTTAGCCATTTATTCTAGGATCAATATCCTTATTTCCTAATAACATGCTTTATACTACCATATCATTTTATGTTCCAGAAATTATCTATTGATTTCCTTCTAAGATCAATTACAATCTCACATCTTTCAGTTCTGGGATTTATTCTTATACTATATACTAAGATCTATGGATTTATCTCATTATAAAACCCTCCTACCCATATATATCCTTTCATCCTATCTTCTGAAAAGTTTTAGCCCTATATTAACATTCAGTGTTTATATGTCACATAAATAATGGTCTGAGTGATTAAATCAATATTCAATTAAGTTTATATTTAGTATTTACATATGATTGTTTATATAATTATTATTCACAGCTAAGCCAGCTAGTATACTGTAATTACATTTATTTTCTATTACAAACTTCTGCTTTCCTGAAGAGTTAATAACCGCTTTGTTTTTGCATTTTCTGAGTTTCTATGTGCCAATCCCTACTTCATCCTCATAGCTGCAAATAGAACTGAAAACCTCCTCTAAGTATAGTCAATCACATAAGGTATCCTACAAATTCGACTTTTTCCTTGCAGGCTTCAAACTGAATGGGTTCTAGGCCTTGTGTACCACCGCCACAGTGAGAATTCGTTTCCCATTTCCTGTGTTGGCCCCCTCCATTTCCTCAATCCCACCATGTTTTCTTTCTTTCCTTCTTTTGTAACTTAAATAAACTCCCTTGTTTTAGTGAAATAATTTTCTCTCAGAATTCTAAGGTATTACTCCTTTGGTTTCTAACTCTGTTTATCACTTTTGAGAAGTCTGATGCCAGTCTCATTTCCATTTCTTTATATGGAATGTATGTTTTCTTTTTGGAAGCTGTTAGAATCTCTTTTCAAATCAGTTTTAAAATGTCAAGGTCATGTGCCTCGGTGTGTATTTTTATGTACATGGTAGTCCCTTTTAGTATGAAAACTCACATCTTTCAGTTCTGAAATTTATTCCTATACTAGTCCTTTGGTTCTTTCTTTTTTGCCTTCTCTATTGTCTTTACAGAATACCTGCTTTGAATGTTGAAACTTTGGGGACAATCTTGAATTTTAAAAAATCTTTTCCCTTCTCTTTATGTTCTATTTTTGAAGAGATTTTCTCACTTTTATATTCCACCCCTTCCACTGAGAATTTTACTTATGATATGATATTTTATGAGCTCATTTAGCTATTACATAGGTCATTGTTCAGTTTCCCAGGCAGGCATTCTCTCCTCTATTCTTCTTTAATTCTCTAAGGCAAGAGGTTCTGAGGCTAGGCTTCTCTCAAGGTGAAATGGCTACTAAGGACTAAGCCAGGAGGAGGGCTTTTCCTTAGGATGCAAAGTCTGTAAGTAGACCAACAGATGGGAGATTGTAGAGGTCCTCAGATAACTGAGCCTGACTTTATTTCAAATGTATCATCCTTACCAAATGAAGCCTGGGAGTGAGGTAAAGCTGGTGAGTTCTTTGTGCAGACTTCTGACAGAGTTCACTTCTTTCCTGCCAATTTTTCCACATCTACACTCACCTGAAGTATCTGACACTGGGATCTTAGGCTTATCTGTTTCAACCAAACTGCCACTAGCATATGGATAGTGGAAAACACGTAACGGATTCCCTGGTGCAGAAGAGTTTTCATTTATGAACTATATTTTGTAAAATTATTTCTTTTTATTTACTTGGCAGTCTCAATGTTAGCTGGTAGATATGCTTCTCTTATTTCAAAAGGGATTTATAAAAAGACTTCACTGTGTTTTGAAGTAGAACGAAATTATCTAAAAAAATGGAGGGATAGCTTTAGGAGATATACCTAATGCTAAATGACGAGTTAATGGGTGCAGCACACCAGCATGGCACATGTATACATATGTAACTAACCTGCACATTGTGCACATGTACCCTAAAACTTAAAGTATAACAATAATAAAATAAAATAAAAAAAACCATGCAGATCTCATTTATTTTTCTCACAAAGGCACTGATGCTATCACACAAAGTCATTAACACTATGCCAAAACTAGAACATAGAGCCACCCTACATTTAAAAACTGCCCTGGGATCAGTAGCACCTATTTAGCTAATAGTTATACACAGGAATAAAAAAGTATAAATGTAACAAACACAGGCAATTATACACACAGAATTTTCAGTGGCTACTGGAGTTTTCATTTAATAAATATTATCATCTATCAGCTACAAAAGTATAATGGCAGGGGTGCAGAAGAAAAAAAGCTTTTATAAAACAGTGGGGGCCAGACACGGTGGCTCATGCCTGTAATCCCAGCACTTTGGGAGGCCGAGGCAGGCAGATCATCTGAGGTCTGGAGTTCAAGACCAGCCTGGCCAACATGGTGAAACCCCACCTCTACTAAAAATACAAAAAATTAGCTGGGTGTGGAGGCGGGTGCCTGTAAACCCAGCTACTCGAGGCTGAGGCAGGAGAATCGCTTGAACCCGGGAGGTGAAGGTTGCAGTGTGCCAAGATCGCGCCATCGCACTCCACCCTGGGCAACAAGATCGCAACTCCAACTCAAAAAAAAAAAAAAAAAAAAAAAAAAAAGATTGAAACTCAAATACCCACAGTGATCAGCAGACAGATAAGGTGGATGAATGAAGCAGACTGGGTCTCAGAGCTGTGGAGATGGAAGCAAACAAGAGAATGGATGTCCTGCCTGCAGGGGGACAGCCATGGCTCAGCTGCAGCTGATTACCACCATGAATGAATGCGAGCCAAAGGGCAGTCAGATTTTCTGATTTTTCAAGGAAAATCAAAAATCTTAGTTTTGAATGTTGGTGGAAAATTTTAAAAATTTTAAAACAACATGGGGGCTGGATGCGGTGGTTCATGCCTGTAATCTCAGCACTTTGAGAGTCTGAGGCTGGTAGACAGCTTGAGGCCAGGAATTCAAGACCAGCCCAGGCAACATAGCGAGACCCCCATCACTACAAAAAACCCCCCATCACTATAAAAAAATTATTAGCCAGGCATAGTGGTGTGTGCCTCTGGCCCCAGCTAGTCAGAAGGCTGAGGTGGGAGGATCACTGGAGTCCAGGAGTTCAACACTGCAGTGAGCTATAATTGCATCACTGCACTCCAGCCTGGGTGACAGAGTGAGACCCTGTCTTTAAAAAAATTAAAAAAAAAAAATCATGTCAGCTACATATCTCCCTACAGAATCCAGCCTATAAGACATTACTTTGTAATATCTGACAGAGATAAACTAATGTGGCATTTAATCAAGATTTTCTGTGGATCTTAGTATCTAAAACATACTTGATTGGGTATTATTTCATTTCAAAAGTTGTATCATATTTTATTATCCGTTGTGAAAATGAAGTTTATAATTTTCAAAAATCTCTGAAGCTTATGCTTCCTTTATTATTAAAGGATTTTATGAAATTTTGCCTTCTTGTATATGCTCAATATAACAGCAAGGAGAAAAGCTTGTATAACAAAACAGAAAAAAAGGATAAAGATTGGATAGTAATCTCATTTAGGATGAAAAGGGGAGAAAAAGCTACAAAGTATACAAAGCCAATCCAGTTACCTGCATTTTCATTCTGCAAGGGTTTTTCTCCCACTGGCAAGGATGCCTTAGTCACTACCCTCTTACTGTAGATTCCTTCTTTATGTTTAATGTTAACAGTGGCTGAGAGGTCATCATCTCTTGTGCCTAGCACCTGAGCTGGGAAGTCTGGAGCAATGGCATCATTGGATCCTACAGAAAAACGGGGAAGTAATACAAAACACAAATAGCGACATGAGATTGAGAAAGACTTTTTAAAAATTTGCCTCTTAGACCAATTCTATGAAAAAAGCACTACAGGCCAGGCACGATGGCTCATGCCTGTAATCCCAGCACTTTGGAAGGTGGAGGCAGGCGGATTGCCTGAGGTCAGGAGTTCAAGACCAGCCTGGCCAAGATGGTGAAACCCCATTTCTACTAAAAATACAAAAATTAGCCAGGCGTGGTGGCAGGTGCGTGTAATCCCAGCTACTTGGGAGGCTGAGGCAGGAGAATCGCTTGAACCTGGGAGGCAGAGGTTGCAGTGAGCAGAGATGTTGCCACCGCACTGCAGCTTGAGTGGCAGAGTGAGACTTGGTCTTAAAAAACAAACAAACAAACAAACGAACAAACAAAAAAACACTACACTACAATGGGTAGGATAATCAGAAGGAAACGTCAGTCAAACTGAAGTTGTAAGCCATGTAAAATAAATTCTAATAATACAAGGCAGAGATGCAAATGATATAAAAGAAGATGTAAAATGGAGAATCAGTTCAGGAGAGAGAATATTTCCAGCTCATGATGGTTTTGGAGGAAGGAGAAAATGGATTGTATCTTGGAAAAAAAGTAGTTTTTTGATATAGAGAGGAAGGAAGAAAGGCATTTTAGGCAGAAGTTATAGCATAAGCAAAGAAAAGAAGTATTTAAAAATAGTGGACACTTTATGGTCAGGTTGGATTGCAGAATACATTAAGGACAGTGGTAGAAGATATTAAAAAATAGTTGTTTGGGACAAAATTCACCAGTGCATGGGATCCCAAGCTGAAGAGTATAAACTTTATTGTATATAAAATGCAACATAACGGAAGATTTTTCAACAAAATAATAATATATTTAGCTATGTTTCCAGAAGATTAATCTGACAATACAAAAGACAAAACACTGAATGGAAAATGACAGATGATAAGTAAAAGATTTGAAAGTATTTAATTTTCTTTTAAAATATATTTCAATATTCCCACATTCCTTGATAAAATAAATTAATCTATAATCCATGCCACATCTAACAGGCAAAAGAACATTTCTGGACATATAAAGGCTTATACTAATCTCCTATGAGATGATTTTTCTAAGATCCTCTATTTCCTGAGCTCCTAGTATGTATATGGCAATAAGAGCTGGGTAAGTACCTGTATCATTAGTACAGTGCACAGTAAGCCCTGAAGAGTTTTGCAGGACAGACTGCAAGGAAAACACCAAGCCTTCTGGGCCAAATAGATTATATTGGGTTCTTCTCAACTTCTGTAACATCACTTTCTCTTATTTGCCTCTTACCTCTCCGGAAACTTATTTTTTATATTTTCTTCTACCAAATCTCTCAATGGTGGAGTTCCTTAAGGAGTCGGAACTGGCCTCTCTTCTCTTCCTAGGTAAACTTATCGACCACCAAGGTATATGCTGATGACCAACAAATAATGTACCATTGCCCAAGAGTACCTTTCTTCTGAGCATCCGACTCCAGCATTCAGGGACACGGCTAGCTCTTACAGCACTTTTATGGAAATTAGAAAAGATGTGTCTTCTTCAAATCAAAATGTTTAAGTTACTATATATTGTAGTACAACACAAACAACTGTAAATGGTGGTCATTCTTTTCACAAATTCTCCCAGGGAGTACACACCAGCAGCAGCATGTGCACGCACAGTCTGCACCACCACCCCTCGTTCTCCAAGAGAGATGACCCTTTCAAGTTCAGAGTCAGGTGAGGAACAATTACATCCCTGAGAGCAGTGGGTGAATAAGCAAGAGAATCAACCTCAGAGGAGGTGAGAGGCAGCTGAGAGAGTGCAGCCACACATGTGTGCGTGTCAGTGAATGTACATATACTTATTTTCCTGTACCTGTGCATAGCTATAGTATGTGCGAGTATAGATTTATGTTTGGGGCAGCACAAGAGTTAACATTATTGCTCCAGAACTCTAACTAAAGATCTGGAATATTCATGCCCATCTGTATGTTTTCATAAAAGTATATATTTATAATGTGAATAATGCCACCTTATATGTGGCACTATTACCTTAACATGTGTAAATTAACTCTGCCTACATTCAATTGTAGACCCAACATCTCTATGTGGATGTATAATAGGAATCTCATTTTTAACATGTCCAAAGCAGACATTTTGATCATCTTCCCCAAATCTGCTTTTTCCTCAATCTCCACCTCAGTAAATGGCACCTCTATTCACCTAGTTGCTCACGCCAGACATTTTTTTCACGCTCTTCTCCCTCACTCTCCATACTCCTATCACCAAATCTAGGAGAAACTATTTCTAAAAGGATGCTGACTGTCCATTTCTCCCTATCTCTATAGATAACACTGTGATACTCATGCTACCATCTCTGGTACTGTCTAAAGCAACAGCCTTCTAACTAACTGGTGTCTCTACTTGCACTCTAACCCGCCCCGCCATGGCTCTCCGCCTTCCCATCTATAAACCATTTCTCCATATAGTGGCAAGAATAAACTTTACAAGTATAAATCAAACCATAATTGCAGTAGTACTAGAATAAAATCCGAACACTTTAATACAGTTGATAAGATCCTGCATGATCTTGAACCCACCTATCTTTAACCATATCTACCCATCACTATGCTCTACCCTGTTAAATAAAATTTATGGGAGTCCATTGTTTTAGACTGAGCTCCTGCACTAAGCCCCAAGAGACCAAACCAAAATGTAGTCACTTGTACTAAATGCCATACAATCCAACTGAAACTTTAAGAAAGAAGGAAAGTTCCAAAATGGACCAGTTTTTTCTAAAAACAAGAGATTCACAGCAACTAACTGAAAAAGGGGCCAGTCACCCTGAGCTGGCGTAAAAAGGAACTTATCTCTGCTTTAATCTTTACCAGGTAAGTAACCTGATGTTAATCAATATGCTTTTTTTGGTATTACAGATGATCCACCACTTACAATGTAGTTATGTCCTGGTAAGTCCATCATAGGTTGAAAATACTGTTAGTCAAAAATGTATTTAATGCCCCTAACCTACCAAGCATCATAACCTAGCCCAGCCTACTTTAAACATAATCAGAACATTTACAATAGCCTACAGGTGGGCAGAATCATCTAACATGAAGTCTATTTTATAATACAGTATCAAATAGTTCATATAGTTTATTAAATACTGTACTGAAGTACGGTTTCTACTAAATGTGTATCATTTCCATACCATCATAAAGTCAAAAAATAGTTCAACGGAACCACTGTAAATTGGGGACTGTCTGTATTGTGTTTCCTTGTTCCTGGTCTGGCTACCTTACCAGAACCAACTCTCTCCCATGCCCAGTGCACCCTTTCCATATTATAGAATGGGATGTTGCCTGATTCATGAATCACTACAAAAACCAATCAGATCTTTAAATTTGTTGGAATTTCAACCCACGCTGCCTTCTTTCCATTTGTCAAATGCATCAAGCTCTTTTCTGCTTCAGGGGCTTTCCCCATCTTCTTCCCTCTCGCCGGAACATTCTCACACTCCACTCTCTGCCTACCTAATTCATTCCCATCCTCTAGAGTTCAGCTCAAAAGTTTCTTCCTGGAAAAGATCTTCATAAGTTCGTAAAACAAAACTGGGTCTACTTGTTTATCTTGGAACTCTTCTTATTTTCTTAGCATTTATCACTTGTAATTACGTACTTATTTATGGTTTATTTGTTTAATATCTGTCAACCAACGTGAACATAAACTCCATTATAGTTTATTTTGAGCAATACTGAAATTGTAACACCTACCACAGTGTATCTGCGTGGAACACAGTAACATCTTTAATACCTATTGTTTGAATAAACAAATGAACGTGAGCTGACAGCTTCCCATCATTAAAAACAAACAAACAAACAAAACAACCTGATCATTGTAGAAAATTCAGGAAAGTATGAAGGAAACAATAAAAGAAAACCCAACTAAACCTTGGTTATATATCCTACTAAGTGAACATTTACAGGGATCATACCATATACAGTCTCATTACTATTTTTTCACTAAAGTAGAGATACATTTTAAATGGAATTCAGGGTTTAAAGTCAGCATGTGAGGTGAAAACCTTGCTATAGAGGGTCAAAATCACCCTTGAAGGTACCTTAGGAAGGCATATGTTGAAATTGACATCGTGTCTGCTCAAGAAACCCATGAGGGTCCACTTTTTCCTCCAAGCTTGTAACATAGCACTGCACCTGAATCTGAGCACCTGATGAAGTATCTGATATTGTACCAAAAAGACATTTCTTCAAACTCTAGAATCATACCCAAATAAGCAAGATAAGATGCCTACACTACAAAAGGCAAACGAGGACTACAATTAATTTTGAGAATGAAGTTTCCCATCTTTCATTACATATTCTTCCGTAGTCATATGTTCATAAAGGGTAGAGTGCATGCACAAAACACCTGCACTTTTAAAATTCTTTCTCTCCTCTTTTGTTAAGTATATTTATTTGAACTTGCTTAAGTTAAATACATGCATGAGACAATATCAACATATGCTAAAATTATTTATCACAGCTAAAGACATCTCACCGAATTCCACTCATCTGATTTAACTGTTTATGCTATCTTAAAGTTTCCTGTATTTCTCGTTCTGTTACTTTGCTAATTTCGTATACTCAACCCTGATTTGGAACATAGACATCTACTTTTAAAATTCAATTAAGATTTTTGGTAACTTCTTAAGTTTTTTTAACTGTGGTAAAATATACATAAAATGTAACCATGACCACGTGCGGTGGCTCACGCCTATAGTCCCAGCACTTTGGGAGGCTGAGGCAGGAAGATCACTTGAGGTCAGGAGTTTGAGACCAGCCTGGCCAACATGGTGAAACCCCATCTCTGCTAAAAATACAAAAATTAGCTGGGCGTGGTGGTGGGTGCCTATAATCCCAGCTACTCAGGAGGCTAAGGCAGGAGAACTGCTTGAATCTGGGAGGCGGAGGCTGCAGTGAGCTGAGATTGTGCCACTGTACTCCAGCCTGGGTAACAAAGCAAGACTCTGTTTCAAAAAAAAAAAAAAAAACCACAAAAAATTAATCATTTTTAAGTGTACACTTCAGTGGCATTAAGTATATTCACACTGTTATGTAACCATCACTACCATCTATCTCCAGAACCTACTCATCTTCCCAGACTTAAACTCTGTACCCATTAAATAGTAACTTCCCACTCCCCCTAGCCCCAGCCCCTAGTAAACACAATTCTACTTTGTGTCTCCATGAATCTGACTTTTCTAGGTACCTCATATAAGCAGACTGGCTTATTTCAGTTGGCCTAATGTCTTCAGAGTTCATCCATGTTGTAGCATGTACCAGAATTTCATTCCTCTTTAAGGCTGAATAATACTCCATTACACATATATGTCACATTTTGTTATCCATTCATAGATCAATAGACATTGGGTTGTTTCCACCTCTTGGCCACTGTGAATAATGCTGTTATGAACATGGGTGTACAAATAGCTCTTGAAGATCCTACTTTCACTTTGTTGGGGTATATATTTAAAAGTGGAATTACTGGATCATACTATAATTCTATGTTTAATTTTTTGAGGAATAGCCACAATGTTTTCCGTAATGGCTATACCATTTTACATTCCCACCAGCAATAAGCAATGGTTCCAATTTCTCCATGTCCCTGACAACACTGATAATTTTCCATTCTTTGCTTTTTTATTTATTTATTTTTTTACTATACTTTAAGTTTTAGGGTACATGTGACAACGTGCAGGTTTGTTACATATGTATACATGTGCCATGTTGGTGTGCTGCACCCATTAACTCGTCATTTAACATTAGGTATATCTCCTAATGCTATCCCTCCCCGCTTCCCCCACCCCACAACAGGCCCCAGTGTGTGATGTTCCCTTCCTGTGTCCATGTGTTCTCATTGTTCAATTCCCACCTATGAGTGACAACATGCAGTGTTTGGTTTTTTGTCTTTGCAATAGTTTGCTGAGAATGATGGTTTCCAGCTTCATCCATGTCCCTACAAAGGACATGAACTCATCATTTTTTATGGCTGCATAGTATTCCATGGTGTATATGTGCCACATTTAATTAATCCAGTCTATCATTCTTGGACATTTGGGTTGGTTCCAAATCTTTGTTATTGTGAATAGTGCCGCAATAAACATACCTGTGCATGTGTCTTTATAGCAGCATGATTTATAATCCTTTGGGTATATACCCAGTTAATGGAATGGCTGGGTCAAATGGTATTTCTAGTTCTAGATCCCTGAGGAATCGCCACACTGACTTCAACAATGGTTGAACTAGTTTACAGTCCCACCAACAGTGTAAAAGTGTTCTTATTTCTCCACCTCCTCTCCAGCACCTATTGTTTCCTGACTTTTTAATGATCGCCATTCTAACTGGTGTAAGATGGTATCTCATTGTGGTTTTGATTTGCATTTCTCTGACGGCCAGTGATGATGAGCATTTTTTCATGTCTGTTGGCTGCATAAATGTCTTCTTTTGAGAAGTGTCTGTTCATATCCTTCGCCCACTTGTTGATGGGGTTGTTTGTTTCTTTCTTGTATATTTGTTGGAGTTCATTGTAGATTCTGGATATTAGCCCTTTATCAGATGGGTAGATAGCAAAATTTTTCTCCCATTCTGTAGGTTGCCTGTTCATTCTGATGGTAGTTTCTTTTACTGTGCAGAAGCTCTTTAGTTTAATTAGATCCCATTTGTCAATTTTGGCTTTTGTTGCCATTGCTTTTGGTGTTTTAGACATGAAGTCCTTGACCATGCCTGTGTCCTGAATGGTATTGCCTAGGTTTTCTTCTAGGGTTTTTATGGTTTTAGGTCTAACATGTAAGTCTTTAATCCATCTTGAATTAATTTTTGTATAAGGTATAAGGAAGGGATCCACTTTCAGCTTTCTACATATGGCTAGGCAGCTTTCCCAGCACCATTTATTAAATAGGGAATCCTTTCCCCATTGCTTGTTTTTCTCAGGTTTGTCAAAGATCAGATAGCTGTAGATATGCGGCATTATTTCTGAGGGCTCTGTTCTGTTCCGTTGGTCTATATCTCTGTTTTGGTACCAGTACCATGCTGTTTTGGTTACTGTAGCCTTGTAGTATAGTTTGAAGTCAGGTAGCGTCATGCCTCCAGCTTTGTCCTTTTGTCTTAGGATTGACGTGGCGATGCAGGCTCTTTTTTTGTTCCATATGAACTTTAAAAGTCGTTTTTTCCAATTCTGTGAAGAAAGTCATTGGTAGCTTGATGGGGATGGCACTGAATCTATAAATTACCTTGGGCAGTATGGCCATTTTCACAATATTGATTCTTCCTACCCATGAGCATGGAATGTTCTTCCATTTGTTTGTATCCTCTTTTATTTCATTGAGTAGTGGTTTGTAGTTCTCCTTGAAGAGGTCCTTCACATCCCTTGTAAGTTGGATTCCTAGGTATTTTATTCTCTTTGAAGCAATTGTGAATGGGAGTTCACTCATGATTTGGCTCTCGGTTTGTCTGCTATTGGTGTATAGGAATGCTTGTGATTTTTCTACACTGATTTTGTATCCTGTGACTTTGCTGAAGTTGCTTATCAGCTTAAGGAGATTTTGGGCTGAGACAATGGGGTTTTCTAGATATACAATCATGTCATCTGCAAACAGGGACAATTTGAGTTCCTCTTTTCCTAATTGAATACCCTTTATTTCCTTCCCCTGCCTGATTGCCCTGGCCAGAACTTCCAACACTGTGTTGAATAGGAGTGGTGAGAGAGGGCATCCCTGTCTTGTGCCAGTTTTCAATGCTTCCAGTTTTTTCCCATTCAGTAATGATATTGGCTGTGGGTTTGTCATAGATAGCTCTTATTATTTTGAGATATGTCCCATCAATACCTCATTTATTGAGAGTTTTTAGCATGAAGGGTTGTTGAATTTTGTCAAAGGCCTTTTCTGCATCTATTGAGATAATCATGTGGTTTTTGTCTTTGGTTCCGTTTATATGCTGGATTACATTTAGTGATTTACGAATGTTGAACCAGCCTTGCATCCCAGGGATGAAGCCCACTTCATCATGGTGAGTAAGCTTTTTGATGTGCTGCTGGATTCGGTTTTCCAGTATTTTATTGAGGATTTTTGCATCAATGTTTATCAGGGATATTGGTCTAAAATTCTGTTTTTTGGTTGTGTCTCTGCCAGGCTTTGGTATCAGGATGATGCTGGCCTCATAAAATGAGTTAGGGAGGATTCCCTCTTTTTCTATTGATTGGAATAGTTTCAGAAGGAATGGTACCAGCTCCTCCTTGTACCTCTGGTACAATTCGGCTGTGAATCCATCTGGTCCTGGACTTTTTTTGGTTGGTAAGCTATCGATTATTGCCTCAATTTCAGAGCCTGTTACTGGTCTATTCAGAGATTCAACTTCTTCCTGGTTTAGTCTTGGGAAGGTATATGTGTTGAGGAATTTATCCATTTCTTCTAGATTTTCTAGTTTATTCGCATAGAGGTGTTTGTAGTATTCTCTGATGGTAGTTTGTATTTCTGTGGGATCGGTGGTGATATCCCCTTTATCATTTTTTATTGCGTCTATTTGATTCTTCTCTCTTTTCTTCTTTATTAGTCTGGCCAGCAGTCTATCAATTTTGTTGATCTTTTCAAAAAACCAGCTCCTGGATTCAATGATTTTTTGAAGGGTATTTTGTGACTCTATTTCCTTCAGTTCTGCTCTTAGTTATTTCTTGCCTTCTGCTAGCTTTTGAATGTGTTTGCTCTTGCTTCTCTAGTTCTTTTAATTGTGATGTTAGGCTGTCAATTTTCGATCTTTCCTGCTTTCTCTTGTGGGCATTTAGTGCTATAAATTTCCCTCTACACACTGCTTTGAATGTGTTCCAGAGATTGTGGTATGTTGTATCTTTGTTCTCACTGGTTTCAAAGAACATCTTTATTTCTGCCTTCATTTCGTTATGTACCCAGTAGTCATTCAGGGGCAGGTTGTTCAGTTTCCATGTAGTCGAGCGGTTCTGAGTGAGTTTCTTAATCCTGAGTTCTAGTTTGATTGCACTGTGGTCTGAGAGACAGTTTGTTATAATTTCTGTTCTTTTACATTTGCTGAGGAGTGCTTTACTTCCAACTATGTGGTCACTTTTGGAATAGGTGTGGTATGGTACTGAGAAGACTGTATATTCTGTTGATTTGGGGTGGAGAGTTCTGTAGATGTCTGTTAGGTCTGCTTCATGCAGAGCTGAGTTCAATTCCTGGATAGCCTTGTTAACTTTCTGTCTCATTGATCTGTCTAATGTTGACAGTGGGGAGTTAAAGTCCTCACATTATTGTGTGGGAGTCTAAGTCTCTTTGTAGGTCTCTAAGGACTTGCTTTATCAATCTGGGTGCTCCTGTATTGGGTGCACACATATTTAGGATAGTTAGCTCTTCTTGTTGAATTGATCCCTTTACCATTATGTAATGGCCTTCTCTGCCTCTTTTGATCTTTGTTGGTTTAAAGTCTGTTTTATCAGAAACTAGGATTGCAACCCCTGCCTTTTTTTGTTTTCCATTTGCTTGGTAGATCTTCCTCTATCCCTTTATTTTGAGCCTATGTGTGACTCTGCACATGAGATGGGTTTCCTGAATACAGCACACGGATGGGTCTTGACTCTTTATCCAATTTGCCAGTCTGTGTCTTTTAATTGGGGCATTTAGTCCATTTACATTTAAGATTAATATTGTTATGTGTGAATTTGATCCTGTCATCGTGATGTTAGCTGGTTATTTTGCTCGTTAGTTGATTGATGAAGTTTCTTCCTAGCCTCAATGGTCTTTACAATTTGGCATGTTTTTGCAGTGGCTGGTACCAGTTGTTCCTTTCCATGTTTCGTGCTTCCTTCAGGAGCTCTTTTAGGGCAGGCCTAGTGGTGACAAAATCTCTCAGCATTTGCTTGTCTGTAAAGGATTTTATTTCTCCTTCACTTATGAAGCTTAGTTTGGCTGGATATGAAATTCTGGGTTGAAAATTCTTTTCTTTAAGAATGTTGAATACTGGCCCCCACTCTCTTCTGGATTGGAGTTTCTGCTGAGAGATCAGTTGTTAGTCTGATGGGCTTCCCTTTGTGGGTAACCCGACCTTTCTCTCTGGCTGCCCTTAACATTTTCTCCTTCATTTCAACTTTGGTGAATCTGACAATTATGTGTCTTGGAGTTGCTCTTCTCGAGGAGCATCTTTGTGGCATTCTCTGTATTTCCTGAATGTGAATGTTGGCCTGCCTTGCTAGATTGGGGAAGTTCTCCTGGATAATATCCTGCAGAGTATTTTCCAACTTGGTTCCATTCTCCCCGTCACTTTCAAGTACACCAATCAGACGTAGATTTGGTTGTTTCATATAGTCTCATATTTCTTGGAGGCTTTGTTTCTTTTTATTCTTTTTTCTCTAAACTTCTCTTCTCGCTTGATTTCATTCATCTGATCTTCCATCACTGATACCCTTTCTGCCAGTTGATCAAATCGGCTACTGAGGCTTGTACATTCGCCACGTAGTTCTCTTGCCATGGTTTTCAGCTTTATCAGGTCCTTTAAGGACTTCTCTGCATTGGTTATTCTAGTTAGCCATTCGTCTAATCTTTTTTCAAGGTTTTTAACTTCTTTGCCATGGGTTCGAACTTCCTCCTTTAGCTCGGAGTAGTTTGATCATCTGAAGCCTTCTTCTCTCAACTCGTCAAAGTCATTCTCCATCCAGCTTTGTTCCATTGCTGGTGAGGAGCTACGTTCCTTTGGAGGAGGAGAGGCGCTCCGATTTTTAGAATTTTCAGTTTTTCTGCTCTGTTTTTTCCCCATCTCTGTGGTTTTATCTACCTTTGGTCTTTGATGATGGTGACGTACAGATGGGGTTTTGGTGTGGATGTCCTTTCTGTTTGTTAGTAACAGTCAGGACCCTCAGCTGCAGGTCTGTTGGAGTTTGCTGGAGGTCCACTCCAGACCCTATTTGCCTGGGTATCAGCAGCAGAGGCTGCAGAACAGCGAATATTGGTGAACAGCAAATGTTGCCGCCTGATCGTTCCTCTGAAAGTTTTGTCTCAGAGAAGTACCCGGCCGTGTGAAGTGTCAGTCTGCCCCTCCTGGGGGGTGCCTCCCAGTTAGGCTACTCAGGGGTCAGGGTCCCACTTGAGGAGGTAATCTGTCCGTTCTCAGATCTCCAGCTGTGTGCTGGGAGAACCACTACTCTCTTCAAAGCTGTCAGACAGGGACATTTAAGTCTGCAGAGGTTTCTGCTGCCTTTTGTTTGGCTATGCCCTGCCCCCAGAGGTGGAGTCTACAGAGGCAGGCAGGCATCCTTGAGGTATGGTGGGCTCCACCCAGTTCGAGCTTCCCGGCCGCTTTGTTTACCTACTCAAGCCTCGGCAATGGAGGGCGCCCATCCCCCAGCCTCGCTGCCGCCTTGCAGTTTGATCTCAGACTGCTGTGCTAGCAATGAGCGAGGCTCCGTGGGCGTAGGATCCTCCGAGCCAGGTGCGGGATATAATCTCCTGGTGTGCCATTTTTTAAGCCCGTTGGAAAAGCGCAGTATTAGGGTGGGAGTGACCCGATTTTCCAGGTGCCTTCTGTCACT
Organism: Homo sapiens; assembly: GCF_000001405.40. Lineage (NCBI taxonomy): Eukaryota > Metazoa > Chordata > Mammalia > Primates > Hominidae > Homo > Homo sapiens. Next base: position 208,143 of record NW_025791766.1, on the reverse strand, counting down.
CCTTTCCTTGGCTAGCAAAGGGAATTCCATGACCCCTTGCGCTTCCCGGGTGAGGCGATGCCTTGCCCTGCTTCGGCTCACGCTCGGTGTGCTGCACCCACTGTCCTGCACCCACTGTCCTACAATCCCTAGTGAGATGAACCCAGTACCTCAGTTGGAAATGCAGAAATCATTCGTTTTCTGCATCGCTCACACTGGGAGCTGCAGACTGGAGCTCTTCCTATTCGGCCATCTTGGCTCTCTCCGCTTATTTTTTAAAATAACAGTGATTGTAATGGGTGTGAAGTGGTATCTTACTATGGTTTTGTTTGGTATTTCCCTCATGATTAATGATATAGAGAAGATTTTCAGGTGTTTATTGGCTATTTGCACGTCTTCCTTGGAGAAATGTCCATCAGATTCTGTGCCCATTTATGAATCAGATTGTTTGGGTTATTGTTGTTGAGTTGTAAGGGTTCCTTACATATTTTAGGTATTAATCTCTCAACAGATAAATGATTTGCAAATATTTTCTCCTATGCTGTGAGTCACCTTTTCATTCTTTTGACTGGGTTTTGTGTACAAAAGTTTTGAATTTTGATAAAGTCTCCCATATATATTTTTCTTTTGTTGCCTTTGTTTTTTTGTTTTTTTGTTCTTTGAGACATGGTCTCACTCTGTTGCCCAGAGTGGACTGCAGTGGCGCAATCATAGTTCACTGCAGCCTTAAACTCGAGGGTTCAAGTGATACTCATGCCTCAGCCTTCCGAGTAGCTGGGACTACAAGCGTAGGCCATCATGCTTGGCTGATTTTTAATTTTTTGTAGAGACAGGGTCTTACTACATTGCCCAGGCTGATCTCAAACTCCAGGGCTCAGGCAATCCTCCCATCTTGGCCTCCCAAAGTGCTGGCATTACAGGCATGAGCCACCGCACCCGGCCTGGACATTTAAGTAATACAATGCGCCAACTCTGGAAACCAGATTCTACTTCCATCTCAGGGTTTGGTGTTGTTGCTTTATGTTGTTTTAATAACTTCTCTGAATTAATTCTGTAAAGTCTATATTCTTTTTATATATGGCCACTGAAGTTACTACTCAATTAGCTTAATGGTCAGCTAATGCCTGAACAGGGATTTCCTTAAATGCCTAGAACCAATAAATCTCCCGGCCTTCATCAAATGGCTCCACACATATGTTGGGATGTACCTTCAACACTGACCTAGGCAGCTGTCAACTTTACCTTAGCCTTCCCTTTTCTTCTTGTACAGATCCTCAAGGTCAGCCAGAGATAAGACCTAGCGCCTTGGGTCTTTCCTGAGCATACACAGGCCTACGCATACATGGGGTCTCCCAGAGTCTTAGGAATATGTCAGCGCCTTTCAAAGAATCTATCAACATCTTATCCTCGGGTGTTACTTTTAAGCTTTCCAGTTAGTTTACTGTTTACCTCAACTGCTAGTCCACACCTCAGCCATTATGATATTAAAATACTTGTCTGTAAATGTTTTTGATAAACATCTTTCCCTCCCCTTCACCAGAGGCCTTTAGCACTGGATGGCTCCCAGTCAGGTCAAGTAAAGATAAGCCTTTTGTGTGGAATCTTCACGGAACCACTAGATAGGTCAAATATTAACAATTCTTTGGGAAGGAACTTTTAAAAGAGGCCCAGCTCCATTTTGCATCCTCTGGTCTTGGAAAAGAAAGCTATATTTCTGAAGGCTATCACTGAGCTGAGGTACTGGGAATGGGACTAGGGCAAGTTAAAATGCTAACGCTTACTGTGCTTAGTGGGATTTGGCCATTTTTCTTGAATAAATACTCCCTGGGTTGCTATTAAGACTGGTTTATTTGCAGACATTTATCTCTTTCTTTGGATGGCTGTTTCCTTTGCCCCAGTTTTTTGCCGTCGTTGTTTGCATCAGTTCTATTATTTACTGATTCTCAACTGAAGAACAGTTATTTGGCCCAAATATTTGCTAACAATGATGTATGTCTTGCTCTTGGCCCCAAACTCTAATTGGCTCCTCTCATAGCTATAGATGTACAACATATTCATAGATAACGGCTAGGAATTAGAACAATTTCTAGGCTTTCATCCAGTGTAGGTCTACTGGTCTAAGAAAGGATTATTTTCTATTCCCAACTTCCTCACTCTCAGAATAGATGAAAACATGAAAAAACAATCTCAAGTGTGTATGGCAACTAGATCTCTTTTTGTCGTACTGATGCATACAGTACTTTATTACAGAAACTATATTTATCAGGATACAGTGTGCCAGTCCTGAGTCATTTTCTTCTCCCATCACCTACACTGTTCAGTCTTTCTCTAAGTTAATCTCTCCAACCAGATGGAAGTGTTAGTGACGTATATCGATAGCAGGACACTGGAGGCCTCAGAAAGTACTGGCACATCTGACCAGGTTTCTACTGTTTACAGACATTCTGTCTTCTGAACTATGAGTAAGTGGGACAGAAGATTTTCCTACCTACAATCAATTAAGTGAGCTTGTTTTCTTTCTGGTAGCCATTAACAGTGTTTTTAAAACCATAGCCTTGCAAGGAGTAAACATTTCTTCATTTATGGCTATAAACTTAACAATCTTAACTTGTGGTGAGTATTTTTGTGGTTCTTTTTTTTCAATGCCATCATTGTGGGAAATCAGGCGAGGTTGTATCAGAGGCTTTAGTGCAGTTACTATCAGAAGCTAGTTTGGTTCTCTTTCATATCAAAGTAACAAAAATGTCTGCCTAAGACCAGGGGCAACTTCTCCTTTCTTTGTAATTTCTATATATATAATGACATTTATAGACAATCATGGAAAAAACAATTTGTCTAAAGTGAATCAAGTCATATCCCGTCGACAACTCAAAATACTGTCCCACCAATCAAAACCCTACACCACACTAACTCTGCACCCTTAACTTAAAATCTCCATAGGAAATATTTATCTAGTGCCTCCATGGGGTATTATTCATTTCCTAACTCTGCACCTCCTCTGTAGTGGATTCACAGGGATGCTGCAGGATAGTTTAAAATTCTAGGGAAAGGACAGTGATAAACTACTAGCTCAAGGTCAAAGTGTCAACATCAGATAGTGCTATGTTCTTTTCAATGCTGTTGTGCCTTGGCAAAAGCTGGATTTTTGGCAGCTGCTGTAATAAAAGGCAGAAAATAAGAGGGTCCAATCTCATCTCATGGTTTGGGAAGTTGCACAGTGTCCAACAGCTACACATATGTCATTAGTAAGTCATCATTGTTATTTATGAACAAATTTTTTTTTCAAAAACCAAAACCAAAAATAAATAACAAATTTGTTAAATTAGTTGTCAGAGGAAAACAATTAGTATTTATGTTCTAATTCCTTAGTTGCTATTTGAAAAAAATAATTGCTTATTATATATAAAGCGGAGAAAATAAATCAGTGAAACAACTAAGGGTACTGTGAACCAAGAAAGCTTAGAAACTTTGCCCTAGATGGAGCCCACTAACCCAAATAATGATCCATACAATTTCCTTCATCAAATATTTATAAATGCTTATGTGTATATATCTGATCAAATAACTCACCTATCTGAACCAGAGATCAAGGTATGAAAAGTTCCATATTTCACTGAAAAATTAAAGAGCACTGGACTTTTGTCACTCCAGAATCAACTAGCCAATACACAAATAAAATATCAAACAATAAAACTTCGAATAATTTCTGCATAATACCTGAATGGGAGCTTTCAACGGTGGTATCTGATTTGGAATCCGGAGATGGAGGAATTTGTCTTAATTGTGGAACATAATACATCTTGGTACTACCAGAAGGCTTATATGGCAATAATAAAGGCTGGCCTAAGGAGGTAAAAATCAGAACAATTAATATGAAAAACATTTGTTAATTCATTGAACAAATATGGAATGCCTTCTATGTTTCAGGCAGTGTTCATGACTTTTGGAATTTATGAGTAAACAAAGAGAAATGTATCTCTGCCTTCAAGAAGAATGAGAATTCTAGAGGAGGAAAATATACAGTAAATAATTAACATACTAAATGAGTAAATTATCTAGCATTTTAATACATTATAAGTGATACAGGGAAAATATAGAAATGCTGAAGGTAATTAAGAATACAGGAGAAATTGGGGTTTAAATGCAGGGGAAACAGTTTAAGTAGGATGGTAGGGATATGTTTCATTGAGATGACTTTTTAGCAATCCATTCCATATATAGATGACTCTAACTAAAAAACATGTTATCTTACATCGAACCCTAACCTGGTCATAATTAAGCCCTTATACTGGTCTTATTCTGCTTCCAGAGTCATAGAAAATAAGTCTAATTCTCATCTATGTGACAGGGCTTCAAAACATAGTTTCCACTGCAAGAGTATGAATTTTCAATATTAAGAAAATATATAAACGTAAAAATTACAAGGTCCTACCACTCAAGGATAATTATTGTTAACATTTTAATGTATAACTTACCCATCTTTTCCTGTTTTTTATTTGTTTACAAAGTTGTCTGCATATAGTATGCATAATTTGAAATTCAGCTTTTCTATTATTTATAATAAAAATATTCATTTTACTTCCTATTCTTCACATTTTTATGGTTATACCAGATTAAATATAGTCAACTCTTAGCCTAATGTTGAAAATGCAGGTTGTGTTAAAATGTTCAATTATAAAGAATTCTGTGAATAAAGATTTTCCTGTTTATACTTATTCTCCCCCATCACCCATCCAAGGTAAATTCTTTTTACAAAGTGAAAAATTACACCATTCATGAAGTTTTCAAAAAAGTACTGACTGCTAAATTGCTTATTAATATGTCTGCGACAATTTACTCTTCCTCCAACAGCACGTGTATAGTCATTAAGAAATGATTAATTGCTAATAGAGGTAAATGGAATCTCATTTTAAAAATATGCCCTCATCTTACTATTATGGACATTTTTTTTCTATATACTAGTTTTTCTTTCATGATTGGTAGAAACTGTCAAATATGACCTCGTGTCCAACTTCCCTACCTCCTTACACCTATACATCTATATACACTTCCAATCTCCCTTACAGCCATGTGTGAACATATGGGTAACTTTGTTCAGCCCATGGGAAGAGTGCAAGAATGTGTGAAACTTCCAGGCATTCCAGTAAAGGTATCCCATTAAAGCCCCCCACTTCCTAGATACTGCAGATCATGATAGCTGTAGCAGTTACTCTAGACCCAGAAATGGAAGTCACACTTCCAGAGATGGAAGGATGCCACAGCCACCAGATATGCAACTCAGCTATCTGCTCTAGACTACTTACCTGTAATTTAGGGTTTCTGTGATAAAATAGCATATACCATAGCCTAAAGCAATAAGAAACACAATTCCCAGGAAAGTCTTGGTGATGTGCTGGAATCAGAGCCAGCTGACTTGGGCGTATGCAACCTAGTAAGACACCAGCCAAAATGGCCAAGGGAAGCACTTGCACCACTCCATACCCAAACCTAGACAGCACAGCTTGCTCCAGGAGAGGGTCCTTCCTTTCACTTCGGAAGACGGAAGATTAAACAGACCTTTCTCTTGCAACCTGGATACTAGCTCAGCCACAGAATGATAGAGATGCCAGGCAGAGTCCTGAGGCCTCCATTCCATGACCTAGTTCCTGGACATTTCTAGACATACCCTGGGCCAGAAAGGAACTTGCTGCCTTGCAGGGAAGGACCCAGTCCTGGCAGGATTCATCACCTGCTGACTAAAGAGTACTTGGGTCCTGAATAGTGAGCAGTGGTAGCCAGGCAGTACTCACCTGGGTGAGACTCAGAGATGTGCTGGCTTCAGGTGTGACCCAGCACATTTCCCAGCTATGGTGGCTATGAGGAGAGACTCCCTTTGCTTGAGAAAAGGAGAGGGAAGATTAAATAGGACTTTGTTTTGCAGCTTAAGTGCCAGCTCAGCCACAGAGGGGTAGAGTACAAAGTAAGCTCCAGGAGTTCCTGATTCCAGGTGTTGGCTTATGGATGGCATTTCTGGACCTGCCCTGGGCCAGAAGGGAGGCCATTGCCCTGAAGTGAGAGTTCCAGGCCTAGAAGCATTCACCCAAGGTGACGAAAGAGCCCTTGGGCCTTGAATGAATATCAGTGGTAGGCAGCCAGCAGTCACCACAAGCCTGGGGCAGTGGTGGCCATGGGGAGTGACTCCTCTGTTTGTGGAAAAGAGGAAAGAATAAGAACTTTTTGTCTTGTGGCATGGATGCCAGTTCAGCCACAGCAGAATAAAGCACTAAGGTTTCTGACTTCAGGTCATGGCTCCCAGACAGCAATTCTGGACCTGCCTAGGGCCAGGGGGAAATCGCCACCCTGAAGGAAAGCACACAAGACTCCCTGGCTTTGCCACCTGCTGATTGTAGAGCCCCAGGGCCTTGAACAAACATAGGCAGTATCCAGCAAGTGGTTCCTGTAGACCTCAGGCGAGAACCAGTGTGTGCTGGCTTCAGGTCTAACCTAGAACAGTCCCACTGGTGGTGGCCACAGGGGTGCTTGTGTCACAGCAGCTCCAAGCAGCTCAGCACAGAGACAGACTCCATTTCTTTGGGAGAAAGTAAAGGAAAAGAACAAGAGTCTCTACCTGGTAATCCAGAGAATTCTTCTGGATCTTATCAGAAACTTCTGATATGGTTTGGCTCTGAGTACCCAACCAAATGTCATCTCAAATTGTAATCCCCATATGTTGAGGCAGAGACCTGGTGGGAGGTGATTAGATTATGAGTGTGGTTCCCACCTTGTTCTCACGATAGTGAGGGAGTTCTCAGGAGATCTTGATGGTTTAGAAGTGGCAGTTTCCCCTGAGCTCTCTTTCTCCTGCTGCCACGTAAGATGTGTCTTGCTTCCCCTTCACCTTCCGCCATGATTGTAAGTTTCCTGAGGCCTCCCCAACCATGTGGAACTGTTAGTCAATTAAACCTCTTTTACTTATAAATTACCAGTCTCAGGTAGTATCTTTAAAGCAGTGTGAAAATGAATACAAAGAATTGGTGCCAGAAGTGGGGCACTGCTATAAAGATAACCTGAACATGTGGAAGCAACTTGGGAACTGGGTAACAGGCAGAGATTGGAACAGGCTGGAGGGCTTAGAGGAAGACAGGAAGATGTGGGAAAGTCTGGAACATTCTAGAGGCTTACTGAAAGGTTTTGACCAAAAATGCTGACAGTGATATGGACAATGAAGTCCAGGTTGAGGTAGTCTCAGATGGAGATGAGAAACTTGTTGGGAACTGGCATAAAGGTCACTTTTGCTATGCATTAGCAAAGAGACTGGCAGCAATTTTCCCCTGCCCTGGAGATCTGAACTTGAAAGAGATGATTTAGGGTATCTGGCAGGAGAAATTTCTAAACAGCAAAGCATTCAAGAGGTTACCTGGCTTATTCTGAAAGCATTCAGTTATGTACATTCACAAAGAGAGGGTTTGAAATTGGAACTTATGTTTAAAAGGGAAGCAGGGCATAAAAATTTGAAAAATTTGCAGCCTGACTATGCAGTAGAAAAGAAAAACCCATTCAAGGAATTCAAGCTGGCTGCAGAAATTTGCATAAGTAACGAGGAGCCAAATGTTAATAGCCAAGACAATGGGGAAAATGTCTCCAGGGCATGTCAGAGATCTTAACGGGAGTCCCTTCCATCACAGGCCTGGAGGCCTAGGAGGGAAAAATGGTTTTGTGGGCCCCGCCTAGGGCCCAGCTGCTCTGTACAGCCTTGGGACTTGGTGCCCTGTGTCCCAGCTGCTCCAGCTCCACCTGTGGCTAAAAGGACAGCTCAGGACATTGCTTCAGAGGGTGCAAGCCCCAAGCTTTGACAGTTTCACGTGGTGTTGGGCCTACAGATGCACAGAAGACAAGAGTTGAACTTTGGGAGCCTCCACCTAGATTTCAGAGGATATATGAATGCCTAGATGTCCAGGAAGAAGTCTGCTGCAGGGGCAGAGCACTCATGGAGAACTTCTACTAGGGAAATGCAGACTGGTAATGTGAGTTGGAGCCCCCACTAATAGTCCCTACTTGGGCACTGCCTAGTGGAGCTGTGAGAAGAGGGCCACCATCCTCTAGACCTCAGAATGGTAGATCCACCAACAGCTTGCACTGTGCACCTGGAAAAGCCACAGGTACTAAACACCAGCTCATGACAGTAGCTGTGGGAGCTGTGCCCTGCAAAACCTCAGGGGTGGAGCTGCCCAAGGCTGTGGGAGCCAACCCCTTGCATCAGCATGCCCTGGATGTATGACATGGAGTCAAAGGAAATTTTGGAGCTTTAAGATTTAATGACTGCCCAGCCAGGTTTTCAACTTGCATGGGGCCTGTAATCCCTTTGTTTTAGCCAGCTTCTCCCGTTTGGAATGGGAACATTTATCCAATGCCTGTACCCCCACTGTATCTTGGAACTAACTAACTTGTTTTTTATTTTACAGGCTCACAGGCAGAAGGGACCTACCTGCCTTGTCTCACATGAGACTTTGGACTTGGACTTTTGGGTTAATGCTAGAATGAGTTGATTCTGGGGGACTATTGGGAAGGCATGATTGGTTTTTAAATGTGAAAAGGACATGAAATTTGGGAGGGGCCAGGAGTGGAATAATATGGTTTGGCTCTGTGTCCCTAGCCAAATCTCATCTCAAATTGTAATCCCCACATGTTGAGGGAGGGACCTGGTGGGAGGTGATTGGATCATGGGGGCAGTTTCTCTCATGCTGTTGTTGTGATAGTGAGGGAGTTCTCATGAGATCTTGATGGTTTTAACGTGGCAGTTATCCCTGAGATCTCACTCTCTCCTGCCCCCATGTAAGACGTGCCTTGCTTTCCCTTCACCTTCTGCCATGATTGTAAGTTTCCTGAGGCCTCCCCAGCCATGCAGAACTGAGTCAATTGAACTCCCTTTCTTTATAAATTAACCAGTCTCAGGTAGCATACTTCTAGGAGTTTGAAAATGGACTAATACAACCTCCACGGTGGTACCTCTACAAGTCTGCAAGAGCCACAGTGTTACTAGGCTTGAAGTGCCCCCTAATGGAGATATGGCTACAGTGACCAAAAACTCAGATCATAACACCCAACTCCCTTTGAATTCCTTGAAAGCACTCCCAAGAAGGATGGGTATAAACAAAGTCAGACTGTGAAGACTACAATAAATACCTAATTCTTCAATGCTCAGACACCAACAAATATCCACAAGCTTCTAGACCATCTATGAAAACATGACCTCACCAAATGAACTAAATATGACACTAAAAACCAATCCTGGAGAAACAGAGATGTGGAACCTTTCAGACAAAGAATTCAAAAATATCTGTTTTGGCTGGGTGCAGTGGCTCACGCCTGTAATTCCAACACTTTGGGAGGCCGAGGTGGGCAGATCACCTGAGGTCGGGAGTTCAAGACCAGCTTGGCCAACATGGTGAAACCCCGTCTCTACTAAAAATACAAAAATTAGCTGGGTGTGGTGGCGCACCCCTGTAGTTCCAGCTACTCGGGAGGGTGAGGCAGGAGAATTGCTTGAACCCAGGCGGCAGAGGCTGCAGTGAGCTGAGACTGCACCACTGTACTCCATCCTCAGCGACAGAGCAAGAGTCCATCTCAAAAAAAAAAAAAAAAAAAAAACTGCTTTGAGGAAACTCAAAGAAATTCAAGATGACACAGAGAAAGAACTCAGAATCCTATAAGACAAATTTAACAAAAAGACTGAAATAATTAAAAAGAAGCAGAAATACTGGAGTAGAAAAATACACCTGACACACTAAAGAATGCATCAGACTCTCTTAACAGCAAAATTGATTAAACACAGTGAGTTTGAAGACAGGCTATTTGAAAATACAGTCAGAGAAGACAAAAGAAAAAAAGGAATAAAAAAGAATAAAGCATGCCTACAGGATCTAGAAAATAGCCTCAAAAGGGCAAATCTAAAATAAAAAATAAAAAGCAGTAGACTAAATCCTCCTATCCAAAGACATACAGTGGTTGAATGAATGCAAAAAAAAACAAGACCCAACCATCTATTTCCTACAAGAAACACAATTAACCTATAAAGACCATGAATAGACTAAAAATAACAGGATGGAAAAAGATATCCCACGCAAATAGAAACCAAAAGAGAGGAAGAACAGCTATACTCATATCAGACAAAATAGACTTTAAGACAAAAATTATAAAAACAGACAAAGGTCATTATATAATGATAAAGAGGTCAATTCAGCAAGAGGATATAACAACTGTAAATATATATGGACCCAACGGTGGAGTACCCAGATATATAAAGCAAGTATTCTTACAGCTAAAGAGAGAGATAGAACCTAATACAATAACAGCTGTAAACTTCAACACCCCGCTTTCAGTATTGGACAGATCATCCAGACAGAAAAATCAACGAAGATACATTGAATGGACCTAATAGATATTTACAGAACATTTCATCCAACGGCTGCAGAATACACATTGTTCTCAGCACATGGATCATTCTCAAGGACAGGTCATATTTTAGGCCACAAAACAAGTGTTCAAAAATTCAAAAATAATTGTAATTATATCAAGTCATTTCTCTGATCACAATGAAATAAAACTAGAAATCAATAATGAAAGGAACTTTGGAAACTATACAAATGCATGGAAATGAAATAATGTTTCTGAATGACCAGTGGGTCAAGGAAGAAATCAAGAAAGAAATTTACAAATTTCTTGAGACAAATGATAATGGAAACACAACATACCAAAACCTACGGGATACAGCAAAACCAGTACTAAGAGGAAAGTTTATAGGTATAAGCACCTACATTAAAAAAACATAGAAAAACTTCAAATAAACAACCTAACAACGTATGCTAATGAACTAGAAAAGAGCAAATGAAATCCATAATTAGCAGAAAAAAAGAAATAAAGATCAGAGCAAAAATACATAAAATTGATATGAGAAAAACATCGCAAAATGAAACAAAAAGTTTGTTTGTTGAAAAGATAAACAAAATCGACAAACCTTTAGCCAGACTAAGAAAAATAGAAGACTCATGTAAATAAAATCAGAGATTAAGAAGGGAGACATTACAACCTATAGCACAGAAATTTAAAGGATGATGAGACACTACTATGAGCAACTTTACACCAATAAATTGAAAAAGCTAGAAAAAAATGGACAAATTCCTAGAAACATACAACCTATCAACCAGGAAGAAATCCAAAATTGAAAGAGACCAATAACAAGCAACAAGGTAAAAGTTGTAATAAAAAGTCTCCCAGCAAAGAAAAGCTGAGGACTCAATGGCTTAACTGCCGAATTGTACCAAATAGTTAAAGAAGAACTAATACTAATCCTACTCAAACTATTCCAAGAAATGGAAGAGGAGAGAATACATCCAAACTCCTTCTACAAGACCAGTAAACCAAAGACACATCCAAAAAAAAAAAAGAGAAAAAAGAAAAGAAAACTACAGGCCAATCTCCCTCATGAATATTGATGCAAAAATCCTCAACAAAATACTAGCAAACCAAATTCAACAACACATTAAAAAGATCATTCATCATGACCAAGAAGTATTCATCCCAGGGATGCAAGGATGGTTTAACATATGCTAATCAATCAATGTGATGCCTCATCAACAAAATGGAGGACAAAAACCACATGATCATTTCAATTGACGATGAAAAAACATTTCTTAAAATTCAACATCTCTTCGTGATAAAAACCCTGAAAAAACTAGGTATAGAGAACACATACCTCAACATAATAAAAGCCATATATGACAGACCCACAGCTAGTATCATACTGAATGGGGAAGAAACTGAAAGCCTTTCCTCTAAGATGTGGAACATGACAAGAATGCCTACTTTCAAAACCGTTATTCAACATAGCACTGGAAGTCCTAGCTCGAGCAATCAGACAAGAGAAAGATAGAAAGGAGATCCAGATTGGAAAGGAAGAAGTCAAATTATCCTTGTTTGCAAATGATACAATCTTATATTTGTAAAAACCTAGAGCCTCCACAATCAATAAATTCAGTAAAGTTGCAGAATACAAAAATGAACATACAAAAATCAGTTCACATTTCTATATGTCAACAGTGAACAATGTGAAAAGGAAATTTAAAAATAATCCCATTTACAATAGCCACACATAAAATCAAATACCTAGCAATTAACCAAAGAAGTGAAAGATCTCTATAAAGGAAACTATAAAACACTGATGAAGATAATTGAAGAGGACAACAAAAAAATGGAAAAATATTCCATGTTCATGAATTAGAAGAATCAATATTGTTAAAATGTCCATACTACCTAAAGCAGTGGGGTATTCCACTGAATCTGTATTCAAGGCAATCCCTATCAAAATACTAATGACATTCTTCACAGAAATAGAAAAAATCCTAAAATTTATATGGAACCACAAAAGACCCAGAATAGACAAAGCTATCTTAAGCATAAAGAACGAAACTGGAGGAATCACAATACCTAACTTCAAATTATACTACAATACTATAATAACCAAAACATCATGGTACTGGCTTAAAAACAGGCACATAAACCAATGAAACAGAACCAGAGAACCCAGAAACAAATCCACACACCTACAGTGAACTCATTTTCAACAAAGGTGCCAAGAACATACACTGGGAAAAAGACGGTCTCTTCAACAAATGGTGCTGGGAAAGCTGGTTATCTACATGCAGAAGAATAAAGCTAAACCTCTATCTTTCATCATATACAGAAATCAAATCAAAATGGATTAAAGACTTAAATCTAAGACCTCAAGCTATGAAACTACAGGAAGAAAACACTGAGAAAACTCTCTAGGACATTAAATATTGGCAAAGATTTCTTGAGTAATATCCCACATATACAGGCAACCAAAGCAAAAATGGACAAATGTGATCACATCAAGTTAAAAAGATTTCACACAGCAAAGGAAACAACACTGAAGAGACAAACCACCGAATAGGAGGAAACATTTGCAAACTATCCATCTGACAAGGGATTAGTAGCCATAATGTATAAAGAACTGAAACAACTCTATAGGAAAAAAAAAATCTAATAATCCAATTTAAAAACGGGCAAAAGATCTGAACAAACATTTCTCAAAAGAAGACATATAAATGGCAAACAGGCTTATGAAAAGGTGCTCAACATCAGTGATCATCAGAGAAATGCAAAGCAAAACTACAATGAGATACCATCTCACCCCAGTTAAAATGGTTTTATTCAAAAGATATACAACAACAAATGTTGGCAAGAATGTGGAGAAAAGGGAACTCTTGTACACTGTTGCTGGGAATGTAAATTAGTACAACACTATAGAGAACAGTTAGTTTGTAGATTCCTCAAAAAACTACAATTAGAGCTAACATATGATCCAGCAATCCCACTGCTAGGTATATAACCAAAATAAAGTAAGTCAGTATGTCAGCGATAAATCTGCACCCCATGTTTATTGCAACACTGTTCGCCATAGCCAAAATTTAGAAGCAACCTAAGTGTCCATCAATAGATTAATGGATAAATTAATCTATTACATATACACAATGTAGTACATATACACAAAGGCAGTACATGCACAATGGAATACTATTTAGCCAAAAAAAATAATGAGATCCTGTCATTTGCAGCAACATGGATGAAACTGGAGGTTATTATATAAAGTGAAATAAGCCAGGCATAGGAACAGAAACTTCACATGTTCTCACTTATTTGTGGGATCTAAAAATTAAAACAACTGAATTCATGGACACACATGAGAGAGAAAGATGGCTACCAGAGACTGGGAAGGGTAGTGAGCAGTGTGGGGGAAGTGAGGATTGTTAATGGGTATAAAAATATAGTCAGATATAATCAGTAAGATATAGTATTTGATAGCACAACAGGGTCTACAGTCAATAATTCACTGTACATTTTAAAATAACCAAAAGACAGCTAGGCATGGTGGCTCACATCTGTAATCCAGCACTTTGGGAGGCCAATGCAGGCAGATCACTTGAGATCAGGAGTTCGAGACCAGCCTGGCCAACATGGTGAAACCCTTTCTCTACTAAAAATACAAAAATTAGCCAGGCGTGGTGGCGGGTGCCTGTAATCCCAGCTACTCAGGAGGCTGAGGCAGAATTGCTTGAACCAAGGAGGCAGAGGTTGCAGTGAGCTGAGATCATGCCACTGTACTCCAGCCTGGGTGACAGAGCAAGACTCCATCTCAAAAAAAATAAATACTTAAAAAATAAAATAACCAAAATAATGTAACTGGATTGTTAACACAAAGAATGGATAAATGCTTGAGGTGATGGATATCCCATTTACCTTGATGGGATTATTATACACTGTATGCCTATATCAAAATAGCTCATGTACCTCATAAATATCTATGTCTACTATATACCCAGACAAATTAAAAATAAAAATAAATTCATAAAGATAAATTACACAGTTCAAAAGAACAGTTCCATTAGAACTTTGTGCAGAATTACTTTAGAGTATAAATTTATGTGGGAATAAATGATACCTTTACAATATTCAGCCTTCCATTCTAGAATCATACCTTTTAATTTAGTAAATTATTATTTTCTATCTTTACAAAAAGGATTAGTGTTTCCTGCATTAGGTCATTTAAAATTTTTGTTTAGGTTATTTCTGAGCATTTCATAGGGTTGTATTGCTCATATGATTATGAATTTTCAATGTAGCTACCATTTCTCATGGCCGAATGCCTCCAGCTCCTTCCGTTTATCTTTATTCTTATAGACCACGGTTTTCTCTTATATCCTGTAACCATTTCTAGATGGACTCCTAGTTGCTCATCTCTAGTTAATAAAACCCAAAATCCTCTAGACTGATTCTGATAGTCCTGGAGTAGAATGAGCTCTCCTCTGGAAACAATAATCTTTTTTTTTTTTTGGTGGGGAAGGGGGAAGGAGTCTCACTCTGTCGCCCAGGCTGGAGTGCACTGGCACGATCTCTGCTTACTGCAACCTCCACCTTCCGGGTTCAAGCAATTCTCCTGCCTCAGCCTCCCGAGTAGCTGGGATTACAGGCATGTGCCATCATGCCCGGCTAATTTTTGTATTTTTAGTACAGATGAGGTTTCACTATGTTGGCCAGGCTGGTCTCAAACTCCTGACCTCAGGTGATCCACCCTCCTCGGCCTCCCAAAGTGCTGGGATTATAGGTGTGAGCCACCACGCCTGGCCAGAAACAATAATCTTTATATTACTTAGAACTGTGTCACCATCTTTGGCAACTCTATCATTCTGATGACATTTTGGCAATGAATTCCACATTGTTAGTAGCCTGCTTCTAAGGAAGAAACTCACTTCCAAATGAAGGAAATGAGACAAAAGGTTGATGCCTAAAGGGATTTACTGTCCTTATCCATGCCTTATGGACCATAACTATGCTAAACCTAAAAAATAAATAAATAAATAAAGTGAGCAAGCTATTTACTGAAAAGTGTTATGGCATAAGCTGGGGAACACCACTTTCTGAGTCTACAATGCTTTCTTATGGGATTTGGGATATGCTCTGAACCATAGATGGTACTTGCCTATACCGAGTACCAGATAGAATGCATGCATTTGGGAACAAACAAGCTTTTTAAGAAGTTTTTGCTTTCAACCTTTGTGACTATGAGTGTTGTTAGATGGAAGATCTTAGAAATAAGAAAGGGACAATTCTACCAGGGACAGGAGCCACCTAGCTACTTAACATTTTTTATATCACTAAAGCAAAACATAGAGCAGCTTACAGAGTGCTGACTAAATCTATGATAGACCTGAATTATCCACAAGAAATAAGGTTACTTTTTAAAAGGAGTATGATTAACACCTAGAGGCATTAATTTCTATCACTGGGCATGGCAAAGTGACCTCTAAAGAAAGTCCAGTCAAGAAATTAATAAAAAATGACCTTGGCCAGGCGCAGTGGCTCACGCCTGTAATCCCAACACTTTGGGAGGCCAAGGTGGGCGGATCACAAGGTCAAGAGATCGAGATCATCCTGGCCAACATGGTGAAACTCCATCTCTACTAAAAATACAAAAATTAGTTGGGCGTGGTGGTGCGCGCCTGTAGTCCCAGCTACTTGGGAGGCTGAGGCAGGAGAATCCTTGAACCCGGAAGATGCAGGTTGCAGTGAGCCAAGATTGCACCACTGCACTCCAACCTGGAGATAGAGTGAGACTCCATCTCAAAAAAAAAAAAAAAAAAAAAGGACCTCAACCTTAGTCTGAGACAACTTAGGAATATTTGTACCACTCTATCAGGAAAAAAGGAAAAAGAAAAAGAAAAAAGCTGTAGCCTCCAATTCTATTTGGTCGTTCCCGTAGTTATTGTTAGAATACTGATTTATTAATTTTCTTTCTCCATCGGTATATATTAAGCTTGATAGCAATGGCTGAATATGCCATGCAGTTCACAGGTTGGAGAAAATTAACAGCAACGATTGGACAAAATTACAATGGACCCAGAGCAGAAATGACTATCACATGGCGATGGACCTGAGACAAATAAAGAATTTTTTGAAGTTCTCAAGAACTTTGTTTGGATGCAGTAGTCTTAAGGTTACACTGGACTGCCTGTCTAGGGGAAGAAGTGAATACATAGCAAATAATGGCTGCTTCCGGGAAAGGAAAAAAGCACTGGAGAGGGGTAGAGGAACTTGTTAATTCAGACTAATGGGTAAGCAGTCATGTAGTTAACATACGATTTTTTGTACCTTAAAATGTTTTGTACAAAAAACAAACAAACAAAAAAAAACACCTCATAAAATTTTACTTTTGACCCACAGTGTTGAAAATAACACTTATTACTAAACCAAATAATATCGATTCTTTGATAAAAAGTTTATATGAACCATAAATCATGGCCTCTATAAATTGATCCGTTTGATGACAGTAGAAGTTTAAAATATGCTTTTTTTTTGTTTTTGGAAACGGAGTCTCGCTGTGTCGCCCAGGCTGGAGTGCAGTGGCACGATCTCGGCTCACTGCAAGCTCCGCCTCCTGGGTTCATGCCATCCTCCTGCCTCAGCCTCCCAAGTAGCTGGGACTACAGGCACCCGCCACAGTGTCCGGCTATTTTTTTTTTTTTTTTTTTTTGTATTTTTAGTAGAGACGGGGTTTCATTGTGTTAGCCAGGACGGTCTCGATCTCCTGACCTCGTGATCTGCCCACCTTGGCCTCCCAAAGTGCTGGGATTACAGGCGTGAGCCACCGCGCACTGCTTTTATAGCTGTTTCCTCTCTTGTGTTTCTGCCACCACCATGAGAACACCACACTCTAGGATAGCTATTGACCCATTAGCCTGAGTCTCAGAAAGAAGTATCTGGAACAGACCCAAACCATTTCTGCAGCTTACAGCCAGCCCAGCCAAAGTCCAATTGACCCATAAGCCTGTGAGTAAGAAAAACAAATGTCTGCTGTTATAAACCATAGAGATTTTTTAGGTTGTTTGTTATACTGTACCACTGTAACAACAGGTAACCAACACATAAAGGTGTTCTTCGTGATAATTTATTAAACTATATATATATTTTTGGTATGCTTTAATTTCACAAGAAAAATGTTCAAGAATTATAACCATCTTAGTATATAAATGCACTTACTTAAATTCAATGCAATTTAAATGCTGAACTAAACAATTTTCTTTACATTTAGGTATATTCCATCTACGTGTGTAGGTGGACAAGTTTTTTGTATAAGTAGAGAAACTTAAGATGTACTTTGAGTAGACTTGTCCAAAATAGTAAATATTTTAAAAATTAGTAAAGTCTCCATCTTCATTTGGGGAAGAATGGAAACTTAATTGTTAATTTTCCTGCTACTTACTCAAAAAAAGAAAATAATTTACAATTTGGTCTAATTCTAAATGTTACATGGTAAAAGTACTATCAAAATATCACTGAAACTATAGCATATAAAACACTCTAAATGTTCACCTTATGGTAGAGACTGCTACCTATTCACCAAAATCCATTTCTTCTTCATTTTGGAAAACACAGCTAAACTACATTCCTGGCCAGTGGAAAGTGATTTGGGTTACTTCCAGACCTGACCTGTAAACATCTCCTATATGTGCTCCTCAATGCTTTTTGTTCCTTCCTGTTGACCATGAAGGTAAATCCAACATAACCTTGGGTTATATATTTTAAAGAAAACAGAGCAAGAAGACAACCTGGGTCTCTGGTGATTGCTTTATAAGTAAGAGATAAACTGCTATTGTGTTTGCACTATCACATGTTTATGCATCTATTTGTTATAGTATTTAGTATATACATACTCTCCCTATATACGCACTATATAGTAATAACATTACTGTTACTGTAATACAAGATAATTTATCCGCCATTTTAAAAGCAGACCTCAATTACTTTCAAGTTGTTATGAACTACTTGCATTTTTATTGCAAATATGATGAGACAAAACTAAGTTTTAACACAAACAGCATGAGTTCTACATGTTAACTGTGCTTGAAATTAAGATAAAATATAATAAATCATATTCTGTTGACAGCTATGCAAATAAAAGACAGATATAATCATATGGACCCTAATTCTTAAATTAAAATTAGGTTTTCTGACTAGAAAGACACAACCACAAATTTCTAAGATAACTACACAAAAGAGCTGGTCTAACAATCTAAAATGCAATCACATTCTCTTACCATCTGTGCCGCGAGAAAAAGTAACCTGTTGGACTGAAGATGATGAGGCAAACTTGACAGGAGCTTTGCGTAGCTTCTGGTTACCAGGCTCTATAATTTCATGTCCACGATCTTCAGCATTAATAAAAATCTCAGATGAAAATAGGGTCTTTTCTGGACTTTCTGTTGTTATCTGAGTGACTGCATCAGATGACAATTTTTCAGAGAAAGCAGAAAGTGGGGTCTTCATCTTCTCTGGTAATCTGACCAAAAAAGAGAAAGAATACAGCAGATTATATCCTTGGCCATTAGAGACTGAAATCTCTTTCCAAAAGTGGTTTCAAGGAATATTTAAGTAGCTATAGGAATATATTGTGGACACATCAATGTCAAACGTTATTAAGGTAAAATTTCAGCAGTACCCTTTATTTTGTTTGATACAATGTTATCACACATGTTTACTTTTATCTTAAAACCTACTTTTAATTTAGAATGTTAAATTATATAATTTAGTTGAGGAAATGCTATTTTTCAGCTGAATTGAAAATACATTTTTTTAAATTACTAGATGTCCACCATAAATTAGGGGACTGTGCTAAATACACACAGTGTACAAAGATAAACAAGAAACAGAGCATTCTGTCAAGGAGTTCTGGGAGAACTAGGAGTTTTCAAGGTTGCAGTTATATCTTGAGATCATAGGGAATTAATATTAAAACAGAGTGGAGCAAGTAAATAATTGAACACATAAATAATTGGAAAGAAGAAGCAAATTTTGCTTTAAGAAGAAGTCCAGATAACAGATGTGAATACCTCCCACCAAAGAAGGTTAAGCTTAACCTTCCCCTCCTCCTTTGTGTATGCACTGAACTAAGTGACTGGATTTCAAAAAACAGAGTATAAGAAGGAAGAAATAGTAACTTATTTCCATCTTGGAGACACCTAGCAAGCACTGCCTTATCCAAGTGATCAGTTAACATCACCAGTGATGATGTGGATACCACATATGCAACCTAGACAATACCATTCCAGACACAGAAACAGGCAATTTCACGACGAAGACACCAAAAGCAATTGCAACGAAAGCAAAAACTGACAAGTGGGATCTAATTAAACATAAGAGCTTCTGCACAGCAAAAGAAAAATTATCAACAGAGCAAACAGACAACCTATAGAATGGAAGAAAATATTTGCAAACTATGCATCTGATAAAGGTCTAGTATCCAGCATTTACAAGGAACTTAGTGGGCAAAGGACATGACAGACACTTTTTAAAAGAAGATATATATGCAGCCACCACGCATATGAAAAAAGCTCAATATCACTGATTACATAAATGCAAATCAAAACCACAATGAGATACCATTTCACATCAATCAGAATGGCTGTTATAAAAAAGTCAAAATATAACAGATGCTGTCAAGGTTGCAGAGAAAAGGGAGTGGTTATACACTGTTTGTGGGAGTGTAAATTAGTTCAACCATTGTAGAAAGCAGTGTGGCAATTCCTCATAGAGCTAAAACCAGATGCACCATTTGACTCAGCAATCCATTGCTGTGTACATACCCAAAGAAATATATGTCATTCTACCATAAAGACACGTGCACACAAATGTTCATTATAGTACTATTCACAATAACAAAGACATGAATCAACCTAAATGCCCCATAAATGACAGACTGGATAAAGAAAATGTGGTACACTTACACCATAGAATACTATGCAGCCATATAAAAGAACAAGATCATGTCTTTTGCAGAACATGGATGGAGCTGGAGGTCATTATCCTTAGCAAACTAATGCAGGAACAGAAAACCAAATACTGCATCCTCACATTTATAAGTGGGAGCTAAATGATGAGAACTCATGGACACAAAGAGGGGAACAACAGACACTGGGGCCTACTTGAGGGTGGAGGGACAGGGGAGACAAACAGAAAAAAAAAAAAAACTACTGGGTACCACGCTTAGTACCTGGGTGATGACATAATCTGTAAAACAAACCCCCATGACACAAGTTTACCTATAGAACAAATTGGAACATGTACCCCCTGAACCTAAAAGTTTAAAAATAAAAAATAGGTCAGGCGTGGTGGCTCACGCCTGTAATCCCAGTATTTTGGGAGGCTGAGGTGGGTGGATCACCTGAGGTCAAAAGTTCGAGACCAGCCTGGCCAACATGGTGAAACCCCATCTCTACTAATAATACAAAAATTAGCCAGGCGTGGTGGTGCATGCCTGTAATCCCAGCTACTCAGGAGGCTGAGGCAGGAGAATCACTTGAACCCAGCGGGCAGGGGTTGCAATGAACCGAGATTGCGCCATTGCACTCCAACTTGGGCAACAAGAGCAAAACTCTGTCTTCAAAAAAATAAAAATAAAAATAAAATGAAAAAAAAAGATGTTAACAACAGGAGAAGCTAGAAGAGTGGTATAAGGAACTCTACTATACGTGTTTCTTTTTTGTAACTCTAAAATTACTTGAAAATAAGGCCTGGCACAGTGCCTCACATCTGTGATCCCAGTTCTTTGGGAGGCTGAGGCAGGAGGATCACTTGAGCCAAGGAGTTAGAGGTCACCCTGGGCAATGCAGCAAGATCGTCTCTACAAAACATAAAAAAAATAGGCACAGTGGCATGCGCCTATAGTCCCAGCAACTGAGGAGGCTGAGGCAGGAGGACTGCTTGAGACCAAGAGTTCGAGGCAGCAGTGAGCCGTGACTGCACCACTGTACTCCAGAGCCTGGGTAACAGAGCAACACCTTGTCTCTATAAGAAAAAAAAAAAAAAAAAGACTAAAACTTTCAAAAAATCACTTGAAAATAAAGTTTCAAGAAAAGAGAATAATGTCATATTGTATTAGAGTAATATCTAGAATATATCACAAAAGTAGAACTTTTGAGTCTCTACCGTATGTCTACCATTCACTAATTGAAAAGGACAATTATGAGAAAAGAAAAAAAAGGTCAATTTCCCTTTTTTTGGTGGTATGGGAGGCTGGGGGCTGAGTCAGAGTAATAGACTGAAATCTCATTCATACTCATGGCACTATAAGAAACCAAGTCCCACTAGATGGAGAGGCCTGGGACAAACACACATCAGCTCTCCTCCTTAAAACATTTGCCAAATGTTGTACCTGCTTAAGGCAGGGGGCTTAATAACTAATGCTTGAGGGAGAGAACTTTTAAAGGTAAGGAATTAAAGACTCACTAGACTCTCAGTCAAAAGTCAGAAGGGCCAACCCCAATAAAGGGGCTGAGTCAGAAAAACAGTAAAATTATTTGCAAGAGTACTAATGAAATGAATTTCCCTTGAGAAAGTTTAACTGCAAGAAATGCATGACTGTTGTTCCCCTTACAACATTTACCATATTCTAAAGTTGTGAGGGCAAAGAGTCTAAAGAGCTGAGTTCAAACACCTGAAAGCCTCAACTGAGTTCTTACAATATTTAGTTGTTGAAAAACCAAAGATCTGTCAGGCTTAAAGCAAAAATTGTTTTTTGTATTCCATGTCTTTGCTATTGTGAATAGCAATAATATGATATTGATTATATGTGTTTTTTCAGTAGAATGATTTATTTTGTTTTGGGTATATACCCAGTAATGGGACTGCTGAGTTGAATGGTAGTTCTGTTTTAAGCTCTTTAAGGAATCTCCACAGTTTTCCCCAGTGGCTGAACTATGTTATGTTCCCACCAACAGTGTACAAGCCTTCCCTTTCTTCTGCAACCTCACCAACACCTGTTATTTTTTTTACTTTTTATTAATAGACATTCTGACTAACATGAGATGGTATCTCATTGTGGTTTTCATTTGCACTTCTTGAATGATTAGTAATGTGGAACATTTTTTCATATATTTGTTGGCTGCAAGTATGTCTTCTTTTGAGAAGCGTCTGTTCATGTCCTTTGCCCATTTTTTAAATAGGGTTGTTCTTTGCTTGTTGAACTGCTTAAGTTCCTTACAGATTCTGGATATTAGACCTTTGTTGGATGCACAGTTTGCAAATATTTTGTCCCATTCTGTACGTTGTTCATTTACTATGCTGACGGTTTCTTTTGTCGTGAAGAAGTTTTTTATTACTGACTCAATTTCAGAACTCATTATTGGTCTGTTCATGATTTCCATTTCTTCCTGGCTCAATCTTGGGAGATTGTATATTTCCAGGAATTTATCCATTTCTTCTAGGTTTCCTAGTTTGTGTGTGAATAGGTGTTCATAATAGTCTCTGAGTTTGTGTGTGTGTGTGTGTGTGTGTGTGTGTGTGTGTGTATTTCTGTGGAGTCAGTGATAATGTCACCTTTGTCATTTCTGATTGTACTTATTTTGTCTTCTTTTTTCTTTAACAATTTAGTTAGTGGTCTGTCAATCTTGTTTATTCTTTGGAAGAATCAACTTTTGGTTTAGTTAATCTTTTGTATGGATTTTCGCATCTCAATTTCATACAGTTCAGCTCTAATTTTCGTTATTTATTTTCTTCTGTTAGCTTTGGGGTTGGCTTGCTCTTGTTTTTCTAGTCCCTCTAGATGCAAATACCCTCAATCTCTATTATCCTCTTATTTACAATATCCAACACACAAAACATTATGTAACATATGAAGCAGGAAAAAATGATCAAAAATTGAGAGGAAAAAATAGACAAGAAAAACTGATTTACAGGGGATTTAGCTACTAGTTAGCACAAAAAGACTTCAAAATGGTTATTAATATATTGAGAGCAAAAGATAAAGGGAAATAGATAAAATATGGAAAATCTCAACAGAAAACTACAATCTATTAAAAAAAGAAATGAATATTTCAGAATAAAAATACATTATCTAAAATCTGATTCAACTGTAGTAGAAGCAAATAGACACTGTGTAAAAATAATTTGTAAATTCAAAAAGTCTACAGAAAACTGCCAAACATAAAAAGAACGAACGGATGACAGCATAAGAGACTCACGGGGCACAGTCATATAATCCAATACATGTGTAATCTTACTCCTAGGAGAAGAGGGAAGAGTGCAGAAACAATATTTATGAGTTAATGGGTAAGAATTTTCCAAAACAGGTAGAAGACTTAATCTACTGAGTTAAGAAGCTCAGTGAACACAAAGTAATACTAAGAAAAACCAACTCTTGGGGCATCAAAGCCAAACTGCTGAAAATCAAAGGTGCAAAAATAAGAACGACACTTGGCCTTTCAACAAAGATAGTAGCTCTTTAAAGTGCTGAAATAAAAACCTACAATTCTATAACCAACTGAAATACATTTCTTAAACCAAACAAATAAAAACTAAGATAATCCCCAGAAGACTTCAGGAAATACTAAAGGAAATTTTTTAGGCTGAAGGAAAATGATCCAACATAGTACAGAACTGCTAGAAAGAATGCAGAACACTTAAAGGATGTGTGTATGTAAATATATACATGTACATATACATACATACACTCTTGTGTATATATACATATTTTACGTTGCTTTATATTTCTTATATACATATATATGGAAAAGAATGTTGTTTGTTCAAAGCAACAATAATAATGTCCTGTGGGATTCAGAACATGTAGAACAGAAATATATGACAACAAAAGCACAAATAGGAGGAGTGAGTAAATAGAGTTCAACTGTCCTAAGATACTTTGCTGCTCATAAAGCGAAAAAAGTACTAATTTAAGGTAA
Organism: Homo sapiens; assembly: GCF_000001405.40. NCBI lineage: Eukaryota > Metazoa > Chordata > Mammalia > Primates > Hominidae > Homo > Homo sapiens. Next base: position 183,874 of record NW_025791766.1, on the reverse strand, counting down.
ACTATACAGTCAAGGAAGTATATTATAATCTCTAGAATAACCACTAAAAGAAAAAAAAGTAAAAGAAGCCAATAGAGAAAATAGCATGGAATAAAAATAATTAATTAATCTAAAATAATAGAGGATAGCAAAATCAACTAGCTCAATAATTATATTAAATGTAAATGAACTAAATATCTCAGTTATAAGATAAAGATTAACAGACAAGATTAAAAATGAATAACATTCAACCATATGACATTGACAAGTGATGCACTTTACTGTGAGGTCACAGATAGGTTGAAAGTAAAAGGAGAGAAAAGATATATTAATCACAAAGTAACAAAAAATAAGCTTCCTATTCTCTTTCCCCTCTCCTGTGTTTCTATTCTCCCTTTCTTTTATCTTTCCCATCCCAAACAATACAATCTTAAAACCATTAGGTAGGCAGAACAAGGCGGGAATCTGTAGCAAATGGAGTGACAACGGGCCAGAGCAAGGTATCAGAATCTCATTAGGGTAAGGAAGGTGCCCATGTAAAGAAGTGTCCTAGCACAGAGTATTAGAATTCAAGCAGGGCAAGAAGACAGTCTCTGCAGACGTGTGGCTTAGTGTGCAATAAAAGCACCAAATCAGGATATGGAGGGCTTCCATGAAGAGGGAGGTCCACCAGACATGTGGAGTTAGAGCCCAAGCAGAATGAGGTAGGTGTCTCCACACTGGGGTGGCCTTACATGGAGTGGCAGAGCTGCAGTAGAGAAGGAAAATACCTACACAGAGAGATAGCCTAGGCTGGGAAGTCAGATTTCCTGCAGGATGAGAAGGGTGTCATACAGGGTAAGGGCAGTGTGGTGAGTCACTACTCAAGCAGGGTGACAGGAGTCAGTCTGACCTTGAATGTCAGAACCTGAGTGAGGAGGCTGTCTAAATGGCGTAGCCTGACATCTTGAGTCAAATCCTAAACAAGATGAGGGCATCCAAGTAGAGGGAGACCAATGTGAGGTGTCATGAGCCTATGCAGCATGAGGAAGAAATCCATGTGAGGGGGTAGTTCAGCATGGGGAGTCAGAACCTACGTGGGGTGGGGAGAGTGTCCATACGTTGAGGGTGATGAGCATTCTGACACAGGGAAGTCAGAGACCAAGTAGGGAGGGGTGCTATACATGTTGAGGAGTGGTCTAGCATGGAATGCCAAAGCCCAAGCAGGGTGAAAAGAGCATCCACCCAAGGAGACAGACAATAAAGTGTTTGAATCCAAGTGGAGCGTTAGGGTCATCCTTGCTGGGGAGAGGTTGGCAAGAAATGAGAGAATTCGTTATATAAAGCACACTGGAAGTGAGGTTACTCACTATTAGATATGAAAGTTACAAAAACAAAGAAAAAAGTAAAAAATGAGATGAACATATGGTTTTTAATATATACAGATAGAGAAATAAATATTAATGTAAATAAGTGTAGGGCTGGGAGCAACACATATGCCTAGTGTTTAAATCCTAACCTCTAAATAGCACATTCCACTGGAAGAACAGGCTTCTTGGAGAAGTAGTTGATTCCAGAGCTGGAGAAAGAAAAGTATAAGATGAGCCTGAAATATCTTGTGCCAGAAAGCAAAGACATGATCAAAAGATGACGGGGACATACAAAAAGGATATAGAGCCAGCTTGAAGGGGCTGCCACCGGCCACCAAATCTGTATTTTGAGCATCAAAACAAATTACAATAGTAACAATAAATAGAATAAGAAAACTTGGTTTTGTACAATGTAAAAATTTGCAAGTCTGAAATCTAATAAAGAATTTGTATCCAGAATATATAAAGATTCTCTAAATTCAACAGTAAAAAAAATGCAATTAGAAAATGAGCAAAACAATTTTAATAGAAAACATATAGATAGTAAATGGGCATATTAAAAATGTTCATTGTCAGTAGTAGAGAAATGCAAATTAAAGCAATAATGAGATAACCCCTATATACCAATCAGGAAGGCTAAATTAAAAAAAAAAAAAATCTGACAGTGGACAGGCGTGGTAGCTTACGCCTGTAATCCCAGCACTTTGGGAGGCCAAGGTGGGCAGATCACAAGGTCAGGAGTTCAAGACCAGCCTCACCAATATGGTGAAACCCCATCTCTACTAAAAATATAAAAATTAGCTAGGCGTGGTGGTACGCACCTGTAGTCCCAGCTACTCGGGAGGCTGAGGCAGGAGAATCGCTTGAACCCGGGAGGCAGAGGTTGCAGTGAGCTGAGATCCTGCTACTGAGCTGAGATCATGCTACTGCACTCCAGCCTGGGTGACAGAGTGAGACTCCATCTCAAAAAAATAAAAATATAAAAAATACTGACAGTATAAATGCTGATGAGGATGTGGAGGAACTTGATCTCTCACACATTGTTATTGGAAATGCAAAATGTTATAACCACTCTGGAAAACACTCTGGCAGTTTCCTATAAAATTAAACATATACTTACGTACAACTCAATAATCACACTCCTGGGTCTTAATCCTAGTGCAGTTTCTCAACCTCAGCACTGACATTTTGAAACAATTCTTTGTTGTGGAGGACTGTCTTGTGCATTCTAGGATATTCCACAGCACCTCTATGTTTTATTTACTAGACACCAGTAGCATTTCTTTCCTAGTCATTACAATCAAAAATGTCTTCAGACATTTCCCATGTTCCCTGAGAGGTAAAATCACTCCTAGTTGAGACCCACTGTCATAGAGAAATAAAAAACTTATGGTCATGTAATAACAAGTACATGAGGGATTCCCGGGCAAGATGGCCAAATAGAACAGCTCCAGTCTGCAGCTCCCAGCAAGACCAACGCAGAAGGCAGGTGATTTCTGCATTTCCGACTAAGGTACCCAGTTCATCTCATTGAGACTGGTTAGACAGTGGGTGCAGCCCACAGAGGGTGAGCAGCAGCAGGGTGGGGGTGTCGCCTCATTCGGGAAGCACAACGGGTTGGGGAACTCCCTCCCCTAACCAAGGGAAGCCATGAGGACTGTTCCAGCCCAGATACTAGGCTTTTCCCACAGTCTTCGAAACCCACAGACCAGGAGATTCCCTTGGGTGCCTATACCACCAGGGCCCTGGTTTCAAGCACAAAACTGAGCGGCCATTTGGGCAGACACCGAGATAGTTGCAGGAGTTTTCTTTTCATACTCCAGTGGCGCCTGGAATGCCAGCAAGACAGAACCGTTCACTCCTCTGGAAAGGGGGCTGAAGCCAGGAAGGCAAGTGGTCTAGCTCAGTGGATCCCACCCCCAAGGAGTCCAGCAAGCTAAGATCGACTGGCCTGAAATTCTGACTGCCAGCAGAGCAGCCTGAAGTCGACCTAGGATATTCAAGCTTTGTGAGAGGAGGGGCATCCACCATTACTGAGGCTTGAGTAGGCAGTTTTCCCCTCACAGTGTAAACAAAGCCGCTGGGAATTTCCAACTGGGTGAAGCCCAGACTGCCTCTCTAGATTCCTCCTCTCTGGGCAGGGCATCTCTGAAAGAAAGGCAGCAGCCCCAGTCAGGGGCTTATAGATAAAACTCCCATCTCCCTGGGACAGAGCACCTGGGGGAAGGGGCAGCTGTGGGCACAGCTTCAGCAGACTTAAACGTTCCTGCCTGCCAGCTCTGAATAGAGCAGCAGATCTCCCAGGACAGCCCTCGAGCCCTGCTAAGGGACAGAATGCCTCCACAAGTGGGTCCCTGACCCCCGTGCCTCCTGGTGGGGAGACACCTACCAGCAGGGGTCGACAGACACCTCACACAGGAGAGCCCTGGCTGGCATCTGGCGGGTGCCCCTCTGGGACAAAACTTCAGAGGTAGGAGAAGGCAGCAAACTTTGCTGTTCTGCAGCCTTCATTGGTGATACCCAGGCAAACAGGGTCTGGAGTGGACCCCCAGTAAACTCCAGCAGACCTGCAGCAGAGGGGCCTGACTGTTAGAAGGAAAACTAACAAACAGAAAGCAAAAGCATCAACATCAACAAAAAGAACGACCACGCAAAAACTCCATCTGAAGTTCACCAACAGCAAAGACCAAAGGTAGATAAATCCACAAAGATGAGGAAAAACCAGTGCAAAAAGGCTGAAAATTCCAAAACCAGAATGCCTCTTCTCCTCCAAAGGATCACAACTCTCACCAGCAACAAAACTGGATGGAGAATAAGTTTGACAAATTGACAGAAGTAGGCTTCAGAAGGTGGGTAATAACAAACTTCTCCGAGCTAAAGGAACATGTTCTAACCCAATGCAAGGAAGCTAAGAACATTGATAAAAGGTTAGAGGAATTGCTAACTAGAATAACCAGTTTAGAGATGAACATAAATGACCTGCTGGAGCTGAAAAACACAGCATGAGAAATTCGAGAAGCATACATAAGTATCAATAGCTGAATCGACCAAGTGGAAGAAAGGATATCAGAGACTGAAGATCAACTTCATGAAATAAAGTGTGAAGACAAGAAATATGGGACTATGTGAAAAGACTAAACGTACGTTTGATTGGTGTACCTGAAAGTGACAGGGAGAATGGAACCAAGTTGGAAAACACTCTGCAGGATATTATCCAGGAGAACTTCCCCAACCTAGCAAGACTGACCAACATTCAAATTCAAGAAATACAGAGAACACCACAAAGATACTCCTCAAGAAGAGCAACCCCAAAACACATAATCGTCAGATTCACCAAGGTTGAAATGAAGGAAAAAATATTAAGGGCAGCCAGAGACAAAGGTCAGGTTACCCATAAAGGGAAGCCCATCAGACTAACAGCAGATCTCTTGGCAGAAACCCTACAAGCCAGAAGAGAGTGGGGGCCAACATTCAACATTCTTAAAGAAAAGAATTTTCAACCCAGAATTTCATATCCCGCCAAACTAAGCATCATAAGTGAAGGAGAAATAAAATCCTTTACAGACAGGTAAATGCTGAGGGATTTTGTCACCACCAGGCCTGCCTTACAAGACCTCCTGAAGGAAGCACTAAATATGGCAAGGAAAAACCAGTACCAGTCACTGCAAAAATAATAATAATAATAATAAAATGTAAAGACCATCAACACTATGAAGAAACTACATCAACTAATGGGCAAAATAACCAGCTAGCATCATAATGACAGGATCAAATTCACACCTAACAATAGTAACCTTAAATGTAAATGAGCTAAATGCCCCAATTAAAATGCACAGACTGGCAAACTGGATAAAGAGTCAAGACCCATTGGTGTGCTGTATTCAGGAGACGCATCTCATGTGCAAAGACACACATAGGCTCAAAATAAAGGGATGGAGGGAGATCTACCAAGCAAATGGAAAGCAAAAAATAACAACAACAACAAAACAACAAAAAAAAACAGGGGTTGAAATCCTAGTCTCTGATAAAACAGACTTTAAACCAACAAAGATCAAAAAAGACAAAGAAGAGCATTACATAATGGTAAACGGATCAATGCAACAAGAAGAGCTAACTATCCTAAATATATATGCACCCAATACAAGAGCACCCAGATTCATAAAGCAAGTTCTTAGCGACCTACAAAGAGACTTAGACTCCCACACGGTAATAGTGGGAGACTTTAAAGCCCCATTGTCAATATTAGACAAATCAACGAGACAGAAAATTAACAAGGATATTCAGGACTTGAACTCAGCTCAAGGATATTCAGGAATTGAACTCAGGTCTGGACCAAGCAGACCTAATAGACATCTACAGAACTCTACACCCCAAATCAACAGAATATACATTCTCCTCAGTACTACATAGCACTTATTCTAAAATTGACCACATAATTGGAAGTAAAACACTCCTCAGAAAATGCAGAAGAATGAAAATCATAACAAACAGTCCCTCAGACTACAGTGCAATCAAATTAGAACTCAGGATTAAGAAACTCACTCAGCCGGGTGCGGTGGCTCACATCTGTAACCCCAGCATTTTGGGAGGCCGAGGCGGGTGGATCACAAGGTCAGGAGATCGAGACCATCCTGACTAACACAGTGAAACCCTGTCTCTACTAAAAATACAAAAAGAAATTAGCCAGGCGTGGTGGCAGGCACCTGTAGTCCCAGCTACTTGGGAGGCAGAGGCAGGAGAATGGCGTGAACCCAGGAGGCAGAGCTTGCAGTAAGCCGAGATCGCGCCACTGCACTCCAGCCTGGGCAACAGAGTGAGACTCGGAAAAAAAAAAAAAAAAAGAAGAAGAAGAAAGGAGGGCAGGGTGGAAAGAAAAGAAAAGAAAGGAAAGGAAAGGAAAGGAAAGGGAAAGGGAAAGGAAAGGAAAAGAAAAGAGAAAAGAAAAGAGAAAAGAAAACTCAAAACCGCACAACTACATGGAAACTAAATAACCTGCTCCTGAATGACTACTGGCTAAATAACGAAATCAAGGCAGCAAGAAATAAATTCTGTGAAACCAATGAGAACAAAGGCACAACATACCAGAATCTCTGGGACACATTTAAAGCAGTGTGTAGAGGGAAATTTATAGCACTAAATGCCCACAGGAGAAAGCAGGAAAGATCTAAAATCGACACCCTAACATCACAATTAAAAGAACTAGAGAAGCGAGGGCAAACAAATTCAAAAGCTAGCAGAAGACAAGAAATAGCTAAGATCAGAGCAGAACTGAAGGAAATAGAGACACGAAAAACCCTTCCAAAAAAATCAACGAATTCAGGAGCTGGTTTTTCGAAAAGATTAACAAAATAGATAGACCACTAGCCAGACTAATAAAGAAGAAAAGAGAGAAGAATCAAATAGACACAATAAAAAATGATAAAGGGCAGATCACCACTGATCCCACAGAAATACAAACTACCATCAGAGAATACTGCAAACACCTCTACGCAAATAAACTAGAAAATCTAGAAGAAATGGATAAATTCCTCGACACATACACCCTCCCAAGACTAAACCAGGAAGAAGTCAAATCCCTGAACAGTCCAATGACAAGTTCTGAAATTGAGGCAATAATAGCCTACCAACCAAGAAAAGCCCAGGACCAGATGGATTCACAGCCGAATTCTACCAGAGGTACAAAGAGGAGCTGGTACCATTCCTTCTGAAACTATTCCAAACAATAGAAAAAGAGGGACTCCTCCCTAACTCATTTTATGAGGCCAGCATCATCATGATACCAAAACCTGGCAGAGACACAACAAAAAAGAAAATTTCAGGCCAATATACCTGATAAACATCGATGCAAAAATCCTCAATAAAATACTGGCAAACCTAATCCAGCAGCACATTCAAAAGCTTATCCACCAAGATCAAGTCAGCTTCATCCCTGGGATGTAAGGCTGGTTCAACATACACAAATCAATAAATGTAATCCATCACATAAACAGAACCAATAACAAAAAACCACATGATTATCTCAATAGATGCAGAAAAGGCCTTCGATAAAATTCAACACCCCTTCATGCTAAAAACACTCAATAAACTAGGTATTGATGGAACATGTCTCAAAAAAATAAGAGCTATTTGTGACAAACCCACAGCCAATATCATACTGAATGGGCAAAAGCTGGAAACATTCCCTTTGAAAACCGACACAATGCAAGGATGGCCTCTCACCACTGCTATTCAACACAGTATTGGAAGTTCTGGCCAGGGCAATCGGGCAAGGGAAAGAAATAAAGGGTATTCAAATAGGAAGAGAGGAAGTCAAATTATCTCTGTTTGCAGATGACACGATTGTATATTTAGAGAACCCCATCATCTCAGCCCAAAAACTCCTTAAGCTGATAGGCAACTTCAGCAAAGTCTCAGGATACAAAATCAATGTGCAAAAATCACAAGCATTCTTATACACCAATAATAGAGAGCCAAATCACGAGCAAACTCCCATTCACAATTGCTACAAAGAGAATAAAATACCTAGGAATACAACATTCAATGGATGTGAAGGATGTCTTCAAGGAGACCTACAAACCACTGCTCAAGGAAATAAGAGAGGACACAAACAAATGGAAAAACATTCCATGCTCATGGATAGGAAGAATCAATATTGTGAAATGGCCATACTGTCCAAAGTAATTTATAGATTCAATGCTATCCTCATCAAGCTACCATTGACTTTCTTCACAGAATTAGAAAAAACTACTTTAAAGTTCATATGGAACCAAAAAAGAGCCCGTATAGCCACAACAATCCTAAGCAAAAAGAACAAAGCTGGAGGCATCATGCTACCTGACTTCAAACTATACTACAAGGCTACGGGAACCAAAACAGCATGGTACTGGTACCAAAACAGATACATAGACCAATGGAACAGAGCAGGGGCTTCAGAAATAACACCACACATCTACAACCATCTGATCTTTGACAAACCTGACAAAAGCAATGGAGAAAGGATTCCCTATTTAATAAATAGTGCTGGGAAAACTGACTAGCCATATGCAGAAAAGTGAAACTGGATCCCTTCCTTACACCTTATACAAAAATTAACTCAAGATGGATTAAAGACTTAAATGTAAGACCTAAAACCATAAAAACCCTACAAAAAAACCTAGGCAATACCATTCAGGACATAGGCATGGGCAAAGGTTTCATGACTAAAACACCAAAAGCAATGGCAACAAAAGCCAAACTTGACAAATTAGATCTAATTAAACTAAAGAGCTTCTGCACAGCAAAAGAAACTATCATTAGAGTAAACAGGCAACCTCCAGAATGGTAGAAAATTTTGCAGTCTATCCATCTGAAAAAGGGCTGAGATCCACATAACTGGAAGTAAAACACTCCTCAGCAAATGCAAAAGAACAAAAATCAAGGAAACTTAATTTACTTAAGAATGAAAACAAGGAACTTAAACAAATGTACAAGAAAAAAACAAACAACCCCATCAAAAAGTGGGCGAAGGATATAAACAGACACTTTTCAAAAGAAGACATTTATGCAGCCAACAAACATGAAAAAAAGCTCATCATCACTGGTCATTAGAGAAATGCAAATCAAAACCACACTGAGATACCATCTCACACCAGTTAGAATGGCAATCATTAAAAAGTTGGGAAACAACAGATGCTGGAGAGGATGTGGAGAAACAAGAATGCTTTTATGCTGTTGGTGGAAGTGTAAATTAGTTCAACCATTGTGGAAGACAGTGTGGTGATTCCTCAAGGATTTAGAACTAGAATACCATTTGACCAGCAATCCCATTACTGGGTATATACCCCAACGATTATAAATCATTCTACTATAAAGACACATGCACATGTATGTTTACTGCAGCATTATTCACAATAACAAAGACTTAGAACCAACCCAAATCCCTATCAATATTAGACTGGATAAAGAAAATGTGGCACATATATACCATGGAATACTATGCAGCCATAAAAAAGAATGAGTTCATGTCCTTTGGAGGGACATGGATGAAGCTGGAAACCATCATTCTCAGCAAACTAACACAGGAATAGAAAACCAAACACTCCATGTTCTCACTCATAAGTGGGAGTTGAGAATATATGGGCACAGGGAGGGGAACATCACACACTGGGGCCTGTTGTGGGGTAGGAAGCAAGGGGAGAGATAACATTAGGAGAAATACGTAATGTAGATGACGAGTTGATGGGTGCAGCAAACCACCATGGCACATGTATACCTATGTAACAAACCTGAACATTCAGCACATGTATTCCAAAACTTAAAGTATAAAAAAAAAAGTACATGAATGTTCATAACAGCTTTATTAGTAATAAGCATTGGAAACAATGTCCTTCAACAGGTGAATGGATAAACATACTGTATAAATTCCAAATAATGGAATGCTGACCAATACAAAGAAATTAACTACTGATACACACAAGTTGAATGGATCTCCAGGTGAGTATGCTGAGTAAGAAGAACACATCTCAAAGTTTACATGTTATGTTCCATCTATGTAACATGTTGGATTCCATCTATATAACTTCTCAAAATGACAAAATTATACAGTAGAAAAACAGATCACTGGCTTTCAGGGGTTAAAGAAGGCTGGCTTGAGGGAACAGGGTGTGACTAGAAAAGGGAAGGCACAAGGGAATTCCTTCACAGTGACAGAGCACTTCTGTATCTTGATTATGATGGCGGTTACATAAAGCTATACATGTGTTTAAATTTTACAGAATTACACATATATGCATTAGAATAACTGAGTGCATGCAAAAACTTGTGAAATCTGATTAGCGTCTGTAGTCCACTTGACTGTATTGTGCCAATATCAATTTACTGGTTTTGATAATGCATTATAGTTATGTAAGGACATTATCAATGGGGAAGCTGAGTGGGGACCTCCCTTGGCTATTTTTGTAACCTCTTGTGAGTCACATATTTTTCTTGTGAGTCTATATGTATTTTCAAATAACAAGTTAAAAAGAAAAAAGGTAGAAATTGATCATAACTCACTGAATAAAATAAGGAAGATTCTGTACAGATACAAATTAATAAGTAAGTTTGCTGATGAATAAGATGTTTACATAATTTAAACATACCTTCCATAAAACACTTAATTACAAAAGGGAAAAGAGTATCTTGTTTGGGGTATTAAGGTGCCTAAGAGCTTTCATGCCTACTGTGGGATGAAAAGGTACCTAACAGCCACAACCTTATTGAGTTTTAAAATGATAAAGGCACCTAACAGCCACAACTTTATTGAGTTTTAAAGTGATAAAGAGGACATGGAAAAATAGGAACACTTTTACACTGTTGGTGGGACTGTAAACTAGTTCAACCATTGTGGAAGTCAGTGTGGCGATTCCTCAGGGATCTAGAACTAGAAATACCATTTGACCCAGCCATCCCATTACTGGCTATATACCCAAAGGATTATAAATCATTCTACTATAAAGACACATGCACACGTATGTTTATTGCGGCACTATTCACAACAGCAAAGACTTGGAACCAACCCAAATGTCCAACAACGATAGACTGGATTAAGAAAATGTGCCACATATACACCATGGAATACTATGCAGCCATAAAAAATGATGAGTTCATGTCCTTTGTAGGGACATGGATAAAATTGGAAATCATCATTCTCAGTAAACTATAGCAAGAACAAAAAACCAAACACTGCATATTCTCACTCATAGGTGGGAATTGAACAATGAGAACACATGGACACAGGAAGGGGAACATCACACTCTGGGGACTGTTGTGGGGTCGGGGAAGGGGGGAGGGATAGCATTAGGAGATATACCTAATGCTAAATGACGAGTTAATGGGTGCAGCACACCAGCATGGCACATGTATACACATGTAACTAACCTGCACATTGTGCACATGTACCCTAAAACTTAAAGTGTTATAAAAAAATAAAAATAAAAAAAAAGACATTACTGGGAGAACTGGAGAAATCTAAATAATGTCTGTAATGCACTAGTATGAATTTCCTAATTCTCATGGTTTTATTGTGGTCCTATAGGAGAATGTCCTTTTATAGGAAATGAGACTATATTACACGAAAGTGATTGTGCAGCAGGTCAACAACGTATTCCCAAATAACTAAGGAGAAAGAGAAGTTCCTTGTGCCATATTTACCTTTTCTATAACTTTGTTATTGTTCCCCTCCCCACAAAATACTCCAAAGAAGATCTAAAGGAGAAACAGAAAACACACAAACATAACTGGAGATGTATGCTGTTTTCAAATGCTGATTAAACAAGCAGATAAAAATTCAGTAAAGATGACAATTTCAACAATACAGTTGATCAACTGGACCAATGTAATTCACTACATCAGTAGAAAAAAGGAGAAAACATGTATGATCATATCCATAGATCAGGAAAAACATCTGAAAAATTAAACACCCATTCATGATAAAACTCACTTAGAAAACATCCTCAAGCTGATAAAAGGCACCCATTAAAAATCTACAGGTAATATTAAACTTAATGACAAAACACTACTCTACTCTCCTGCCCTCCAGGAATAGGGAACAGGGCAAGATGTCTGCTTTTACTACTTGTTTTGGTATCATATTCAATGTTCTAGCCAGTGCATTAAGCAAGAAAAAGAAATAAAAGGCATGAGAACTGCAAAGGAAGGAGTAAAACTGCTCTGTTCTCTGGTGAAATGATTATGTATGAAGAATAGACTTTATACCTGAGGATCCCAGTAAATTTAAAGAAGAAACTCTTGAAATCTTAGAGGAGTTACTGAACATAAAACAGAGAACAAATAGATATATGTCAACCACTGGAACTTTTGCCTTGTATAAATTCTCTACAGCACTCATTGCCCTAAAACATCCCACAGTAGGCATGAAAGCTCTGACCCAAAGAATAATAAATTAAAATTAAAATTAACTTGTTGGGACCTACAAATTGGCATGACAACAGTATTTCTATATATAAGCAATGAACAATGAGAAAACTTAAATTTTAAAATGCCATATACCATAGTATATTAACTACTTAGGAATATATTTAGTAGATGTGTAAAATCTACACAACGAAAATTACAATATGTCACCGGGGGACATTAAAGATGACTTAAATAAGTGGGGAAGAAAAATCTCACCATGTTCATGCATAGGAAGACTGAAAATTCAAATGTCAATCTACAAAATTGATCTACAGATTCCATACAATCCCCAAAAAAATCCCAGTATGCTTATTCTAAAATTTGTATGAAAATGCAAAGGACTTGAAATAGCAAAAATAATTTTGAAAACAAAAACAAGGTTGGAGGACATAACCTGATTTCAAGACTTACTATAAAGCTACAGTAATCAAGACATTGTGGTACTGGTGTAAAGATAAATAAAAAGAACAAAGAAACAGAGTAGAAACTCTAAAACTTACACATATAAGGCCAACTAATTTTGACCAAGGTTCCAACTAACTTCAATAAGGAAATAATCATTTTTGAAAAGTGGTGCTAGAATATTCCTAGGAAAGAAAATGATCCTCAACTGCATAACTTACACCACAAAGGAGAATTTGGAAACAGATCACAGACTTGATCACAAAGTTAAGACCATAACATTTCTACATGAAAATACAGGAGAAAACTTTTACAACACTTGATTAGGCAACATTTCTTAATCAGGACACAAAAAAGTACTAATCATTAAAAAAAAATTACCAAAGTGGAATTCATCAAAATTAAAGCTTTCTGTTCCCCAGAGACACCATTAAGAAAACAAAAATCACACCACAGACTATGAGAAAATATTCACAATACACAGAGGATTTGTATCTGGAATATATTATAAAAATTCCTATAATACTGAGACAAATAATCCAATGGATAAAAGTGAACAGATACTTCATAAATAAAATCATGCAAATGGGCAAGAGACACAGAAAAGATGCTCAGCATCATTAGTCATCATGGAAATACAAATTAAAATTACAATACCATACTGTTTCATACTCACATTTAGAATGAGTGAAATTAAAAATAACTGTTAATACCCAGTGTTGGCAAGGATGTGGAATAACTGAAACTCACATATGCAGTTAATGGGAACAAAAAACAGTAGAAGTGGTTCCAGTTCCAGGTTAGCGTATCTAATCCTAGATGAGATGAGCTATAAAACCTAGATAGACTACATGGAGCAGCTATTGGAAGACTGTGGAAAATAACAGAAGCAGGCAGATTGAAGATCATAAAATCTGAAATATCATCAAAATGGTAATGAGTTTGCCATCATTTTTGTTTCCTCTGTCATTCCTTGGCCTGAACTCAATATAGCCTGAAACCTAAAAGTGGATATTAGCATAGAGAGAAAGACTTCACAGCGAAGCCTTCTAGTTCAGGCTTCAGGAATGAAAGAAGGGTCTCCCAACACTCTATATAGAGTGTGGAATCCCCTTTTTCCTTATCTCTGTATATTAGTCATAGCATCCCAGTAATCTCATGGTGGCAATGGTACAAGCAGTAACAGAGGCTGGCAGGAGCCTAAAGTTCTGAAGAAGGGAAACCTTCAACTTACACCAAAGGAAATGTGGTCTCAAGAGTGACCACTCCTGGTTGGCTTTTTCTCCTTCTGTCCTGTGCCACTCAGCCCTGACACAATGTAGTCACAGAAAGTACATAGAAAAGGGATAAAAGTACCTAGAAAAGGGCCACTAGGCACACACACAGACAACAGATGTGAACAGCACTGCAAAATCTTTGAAAACTGAATGGACTTGGAACAACAACCTACAGAAGGCTGGCTGGAATTTTTAACCTGAAACTAGTTGGGTCATTGTCTGCTAAAACAAAAACATCAACATTCTCTATGGCATTTAAACAAGACTTGTCATTTCATAACACGTCATTATGAAATACAATCCAAAATTATTCATCATATTTAGAACCAGAAAAATCTCAGCTCAAATGGTGTCTTAGTCTGTTTGCACTGCTATTAAGGAATACTTGAGGCTGGGTAATTTACCAAGTAAAAAGGTTTGTTTGGCTCACAGTTCTGCAGGCTGTGTAAGAAGCATGGGACCAGCATCTGCTTCTGGTGAGGAACTCAGGAAGCTTCCAATCACAGCAGAAGTGTAAGGGGAGAGCCCACATCACACGGGAAGAGAAAAGAAGTGGAAGGTGGGGAGGAGGGGAGTCATTCTTTTTTAAACAACCAGCTCTTGGGTGAACTACGAGCCAGAACTCACTCATTACCACAGGGAGGTCACTGAGCCATTCATGAGGGATCTGCCCCCATAACCCAAACATCTCTCTTTAGGTCCCACCTCTAATGCTGGGGATCAAATTTCAATATGAGATTTTGAAGAGACAAATATAAAAACTAAATCACATGGGAACAGACACCAAGGCTAGGATAAAAGAGATATCAGAATTCCCTGACAAAAACTATAAAACAGCAGAAATAAATGAAAACTGGATACTTACATGCAGAAGAATGAAGCTAGAACTCTATATCTTTCGCCATATACAAAAATCAAATCAAAATGGATTAAAAACTTAAACCTAAGACCTCAAATCATGAAACTACTACAGAAAAACATGAGGGAAAATCTTTAGGATATTGGTCTGGGCAAAAATTTCTTGAGCAATACCCCACAAGCACAGGTAACCAAAGCGAAAATGGACAAATGGGATCACATCAAATTAAAAAGCTTCTTTACAGCAAAGGGTACAATCAATAAAGTGAAGAAGACAACCTACAGAATGGAAGAGAATATCTGCAAACTACCCATCTCACAAGGGATTAATAACCAGAATACATAAAGAGCTCAAACAATTCCATAGGAAAAAATCTAATAATCCAATCAAAACACTAAAACTAAAAACTACAATGAGATATCATCTCACCCCAGTTAAAATGGCTTATATGGAAAAGACAGGCAATAACAAATGCTGGTGAAGACGTGGAGAAAAGGGAACCCTTGTATACTATTGCTTGGAATGTAAATTAGTGCAATTGCTAAGGAGAATAGTTTGGAGGTTCCTTAAAAAAACTAAAAACTGAGCTACAATATGATCCAGCAATCCCACTGCTGAGTATATACCCAAAAGAAAGGAAATCAGTATATGGAAGACTGATTTTGTTACTCAAAAGCAATCTACAGTTTCAATGCAATCCCATGTTTGTTGCAGCAGTGTTTGTGGTAAGCTAAGATTCGGAAGCAGCCTATGTGTCCATCAATAGATGGGTAAGAAAATGTGGTACATATACACAGTGGAGTACTATTCAGACATAGAAAATGATGAGATCCAGTCATTTACAACAATATGGATGGAACTAGAGATCATTACGTTAAATGAAATAAACCAGGCATAAAAAGACAAACACTGCATGTTGTCACTTATTTGTGGAATCTAAAAATCCAAACAATTGAACTCATGGACATAGAGAGTAGAAGGATGGTTACCAGAGGCTGAGAAAGGTAGTGAGGGGTTTGGGGAGAGATGGGGATGGTTAATGGGCACACACACACACACACACAAAATAGAAAGAATGAATAAGACCTACTATGTAACACAAAAGGGTGACTATAGTAAATAATGACTGTACATTTTAAAATAACTTAGTGTAATTGCATTGTTTGCAACTCAATGGATAAAAATGCTTGAAGGGATGTACCCCATTCTTCACAATGTCCTTATTTCACACTGCATGCTTGTATCAAACATCTCATGTACCCATAAACATATACACCTACTATGTACCAATGAAAATTAAAAAGAAAAAAAAAAAGAAATTTCTACAGCCACCTCAATCTTTAGCAATCACCACCCAGAGCAGTTAGCAGCCACCAACATCAAGGTAAGACTGCCACCAGCAAAAAGTAACTCACTGAAGGTTCAAATAATTGTTAGCATTTTTAAACAATAAAGAATTTTTAAATTAAGGTATGTACTTTTTTTAGACATGACACTATTATACACTTAATAGAGTACAGTATAGTGTAAACATCACTTGTATTATCACTGGGAAACCAAAAAATTCATGTGATCGGCTTTATTGCAGTGGTCTGGAACTGAACCTGCAATATATCTGAGGTATGCCTGTAAACCTATAGGCTTAAAAAAACTCAGCAAACCCCAAACAAGATGTACCAAAGAAATCTATACCTAGAAAAAGAAGACATTAAAAAGACACGTGCACACACTTGTACAGCAGCACAATTTGCAACTGCAAAGACATAAAAACCTAAATGCCCATCAACCAATGAGTAGATAAAGAAAATGTGGTATATATACACCACGGAATACTACTCAGCCATAAAAAGGAATGAAATAATGTCTTTTGCAGTAACTTTGATGGAGCTGGAGGCCATTATTCTAAGTGAAGTAACTCATAAAAACCTAAGTGCCCATCAACCAACGACAATTTTTAAATTAAGGTAGGTACATTTTTTTAGACATAACGCTATTATACACTTCATAGAGTACAGTATAGTGTTAACATAACTTGTACATGCACTGGGAAGCCAAAAAATTTAGGTGACCGGCTTTATTGCAGTGGTCTGGAACTGAACCTGCAATATATCTGAGGTATGCCTGTAAACCTATGGGCTTAAAAAAACTACATATTGGGTATGGTGTGCATACTACTCGGGTGATGGGTGCACTAAAATCTCAGAAATCACCACTAAAGAACTTATCCATGTAACCAAAACAACCTTTATCCCAAAAACTACTGAAATGAAAATTTAAAAATTAAAAAAAAGAAGAAACCCATATCTAGAAGCATAATCAATGTGCTGGAAAAAAATTAAAATAATCAGAGAAAAATAACACATTGTTCTTACATAGAAAACAATGACTCAAATGACTATGAATTTTTTGCCAGAAACCATGGAATCCAGAAGGAAGGAGCATATTTTTTAAGTGCTGAAAGGAAAGTATTGCCAACCCAATCACACGATCCATTTAAAAATCAATTAATTGGACTTGATCAAAAGGAAACACCTTTGTTTTTTGAAAGCCTTTTTTAAGAGGATAAGAAGACAAGTCGCATACTGTGAAGAGATATTTGCAAATAACATATCCAGAAAAGACTCGTATCCAGAATATATTAAGAACTCTCAAAACTCACCAATAAGAAAGCAAACAACCCTATTTAAAAAGCACTTCACCGAAGAGGATGGCAAATAAGCTCTTGAAACGGTGTTCATAATAATTAGCCATTAAGGAAGGACATGCAAATTAAAACTATGTTGAGATACCACTGTACAACTATAAAAATGGCTAAAATATATTGACAATTTACACATCGGTGAGGATGTGGAGTAACTAGAATGCTCACCCATTGCTAGCAGGAATGCAAAATGATACAGACACTCTGAAAAACCAGTATTAGTTTAGCTCTGAATAATTCTTACAAAGTTAAATATACACCTGTACCATATAACTCAGGAATCCTCTTTCTTAGTATTTACTGTAGAGAAACAAAAACCTGTATATAAATGTTTACAGCAGTTCTAATTTTAATGGTCCCAAACTAGAAACAACTCAAATATCCTTCAGTGAGTGAATGGATAAACAAACTCAATTACAATAAAATATTACTGCATTTAATAAAGCAATAAAAAAGCACTACTGATCCACACAAGATGGATGTGTCAAATGCATTTTGCAAAGTAAAAAATTCAGACCCAAAAGGCTGTTACATATTTTATGATTCCATTTGTGTGACACTCTAGAAAGGCAAAACTCTAAGGAAGAATACAGACCAGGGACTGCCAGGGGTGAGGGATCAGAGGAAAGACTGTCTCCAAAGGAACGGCATAGGGGAATTTGGGGATTGATGGAACTGCTCATATGAAACTGTAGCAATGGATAGAATTGTAAAGCACAGAAAGTGAAATTTATAAGTACGGAAATTTTCAAAGGTGAACCAGGATATGAGGCAAAGATGGAATGCAGAATGTGACTAATGAATCTATATTATAAATGAATCACGTACTCATACTGAAGAATATGGGGAAGGGAGATGCTGACTTAAGAAACTTTAGCAAACAGCATTTTTGTCTAGATATTTTAATGATAACTTCGAAACTGCAGATAAACACTGTACTCTAGATGCAGAATTTGTTTTTCATGTGGGTAGGGGCTATGAATTCTGAAACTATTTATATATTAGGGTAAATATATTACAGATAATGAGAGCCAGTTTTATCGCTATTAGAGACAGAAGTTACAAATAAAGAAAGGGGAAAGGCTAGAATCAACCTTGTGGATCTGTACTAGAGTCAGAGGTATCAATATGGACACATGATTTAAAACACACACACACGTTAAAAGATACAGATATGAGTATACACATAAATTTACAAATCTACCTATATTTCTTAGCTTTATTCACTGAGAAAGGCTAGACACAGCAACATCCCACCAGCAATGAGCATGCCAGGTCCTTACATCTTGCTTTCTAAATACTGTACTCCTTCCTCCCTTCAAAAATAAGAGGGTTTTTTGGCTGGGCATGGTGGCTCACGTCTGTAATCACAGCATTTTGGGAGGCCGAGGTGGGCAGATCACCTGAGGTCAGGAGTTCAAGACCAGCCTGGCCAACATGGTGAAACCCTGTCTCTACTAAAAATACAGAAAATTAGCTGGGTTTGGTGGTGCAGACCTGTAATCCCAGCTACTCTGGAGGCTGAGGCAGGTGAATTGCTTGAACCCGGGAGGTGGAGGTTGCAGTGAGCCAAGATCACGCCACTGCACTCCAGCCTGGGTGACAGAGCAAGACTCCGGCTCAAAAAGAAAGAAAACAACAACAACAACAACAATAAAAAGAGGGATTTTTAATGAAACAGTTGATTCCAGCTCTGGGGCAGGGTACAGGAGCCAACCTAAAAGTGCTCTAAAGAGCTAAAAAGAGAACTTGAGCAACAAAACAGTAATGGTAGCATTGGATTATAATCCAAATAATGAAATAAACACTAATGAGTCTACAGTAATGTAAATAAATAACCTAGGGCGGAATAAATGAGGGAAGAACAATTCTCCTTACAGAAGAATTCCAATTAACAAATGTAAAAGAGATGACAGACATAAAAAAATTAAAACACCAGAGTAATAACTGCTACAGCCAAGATCCACTCATGAATGCTAAAATTAGTAGTCAAAGTTTAAGCAGAAACAGGTTATTTGTATAGTCTAACAAAATCTCCCTCAAATGTTTAGTATCTCCAAAGGAAAAACAATAACCTTACAGTGGAGAATCCTAGCAGATACCACTTTAGCCAAGTGATCAAGGTTAACATCACCAGTAATGTATATCAACATAATGTGCTCTCTGTTGTGACGTGTTGAGAATGCATAACCCTAATCTAACCTTGAACCATCAAACAATGCTAAATTGAAGAAGCTTCTTCAAAATAACTGATTAGCACTCTTCAAAGCGTCAAGGTCATGAAAGACAAAAAAAGACTGGGAAACTGTCATAGATTGGAGGAGTCTAAGACATGACAACTAAAATGCAAGACGGAATCCTGGGTTGGATCTGAAACAAAAAAGGTTCATTTGTGGAAAAACCTGGTGAAATCAATGTTAGACTATATAGTTTTACACCAATAATAATTTCTTATTTTGATAAATATTTTATGGTTATGATGTTACGGTAAGATGTTAACATAAATGGAAGCTTCAGTAAAGGTTACATGGACAACCTCTAACATATCCCCCAATGACATCTACCTCCTGGTATTCAGGACCTTGTGGAATTCCCAACCCTTGGGTGAGAGCTTTAGACAGTGACTCATTTCTACTGAAGAGAATGTGGCAGAGGTGACGAGATGACACATCCAAGGGTAGGTTACAAAAAGACTGTGGCTTTTGTTTTGGGCACCCTCTCTTGCCCTCTCACTGCCTCACTAAGGGAAGCTTAGGTGTCATATTATGAGTGCCTTATAGAATCAAAAAGCCCATGTCTCTGGCCAAAGCCATGGCCATGTGAGTGAGGCTGGAAGCATATCCTCTCAGGCAAGCCCTGTGATGAGACCACATTTGCAGCCAATACCTTGTTTGCAACGTTCTGAGACAACCTAAGCCAGAAGTACCCAAATAAGCTACATTTAGATTTCTGACCTACATAAATTTTCACGTTTATTAAGTTGCTATATTTCAGGGTAACATGATACACAGCAATAGATAATACAGAAACTCTCTGTGCTATTTCTGCAACTCCTAAGTCTAAAATTATCTCAAAATGAAAAAGTTTGAATATATTTTATACACATATACTTTATAAATATTTTATACATACATACTTTATAAATTTTTTTTTTGAGGCAGAGTCTCGCTTTGTTGCCAGGCTGGAGTGCAGTGGTGCAATCTTGGCTCACTGCAGCCTCCGCCTCCCAGGTTCAAGCGATTCTCCTGCCTTAGCCTCCTGAGTAGCTGGGATTACAAGCATGTGCCACCATGCCCAGCTAATTTTGTATTTTTAGTAGAGATGGGGCTTCTCCATGTTGATCATGCTGGTCTCAAATTCTCAACCTCAGGTGATCCGCCCACCTTGGCCTCCCAAAGTGCTGGGATTACAGGTGTGAGCCACCGCACCCAGCCCTTTATAAATATTTTATAAGGTATTATATATATATTTACTTATATATATATGTTTTATGCATCTGTGTGTGTGTGTGTGTGTGTGTGTGTGTGTAGTTTGCCTTATTTATGGACTGTGGAGTTTGATAAACCTAGGTTCAAATGCCACCTCCAATGCTCAATGGCCATGTGATCTTGGGCAAAATATTTTCTCTAAGTCTCAGGTTTTTTAAATCCACAACTGAGGTAATAATATCTATTTCTGATTATTACACTAAGTATAATATAAGCATCCACTACAAACGTACACCCTGAACAAATGGCATTATTGTTAGTTCATATATATAATCATCTATTACTTTCTTCTCATTCATAGCTTTATCTCATTTTTAAGGTATTCAGTACAATACCTTAGCATTTAACCTTTGAAGAGTTTAAAAATTGTATATGAAATTGTCAATGTTTTAATTTCTAAACTTTTTTTTTTTTTTTTAAGTATCAATACTGACCAGCCTTGCCAACATGGCAAAACCTCGTCTCTACTAAAAATACAAAAATTAGCCAGGCATGGTGGTGCACGCCTGTGGTCCCAGCTATTCAGGTGGCTGAGGCGGGACGGGAACCCAGGGGGCGGAGGTTTCAGTGAACCAAGATCACATCACTGTACTCTGGCCTGGGTGACAGAGCGAGACTCTGTCTCAAAGAAAAAAATTTTAAAGGTATCATTACTGATCTCTATGGCACTCTACTATTTTTAACATTGAAATCAGAGATTGACCTTGTTTTTTTGCCCCAATCTATTATCTCAATCCCTAACTTTTAGAGCTATAAGGGACTTTTCAGCATTCCAACCCTTTCCTTCTACATATGAGTGCCAAGGATATTAAATCAGTTGTCCAGCATCATGGTTGGAAGTGTTGGAATTAGGGTTCAAATTCTAGGACAGAGTACTGTGTAGAGGAACAAATCCTTACTCTGATTAAACAGAATGCATTTGAATGCTCTTTCTCTTGCCCACAAACAACATCTTTTGGCACAAAAGATTTCCCAGTAGGAAAATAGAGATATCATCACCTGCTTCATAGGATCATGATGAGAACTAAGTAGGATAGCATATCTAAGTTCCTTATTGCCATGACTACTACCACATGTAGATTATGAATAAACATTTCTTTCTTCCTCCTTTCCAAGCCTAGCGCTCTCCACTGTGGTACGATGCCTCTTCAACTATAAGGTAAAATACTAAACATACAGGTAGTTCTGCTTCACCATATCATAAGAGGCTCATTAAGTAAAACTGAATTAATGGCAATGTGCTAAAATTGGGCTGAATAATATAAATCTAACGAACTTATCCCTGAATTGGGTTTCCTTTCCTACAATACTCTATGAGGTGGGGCATCATATCAGGGAGCACATTATGTTGACAGATGTTTTACTGGCGATGCTAATCTTCATCATTTGACTAAACTGGTATCTGCCAGGATTTTCCACTGTAAAGCCACTTTCTTTGTAAATACTAAATATTTGAGGGAAGTCATGAAATGGAACCAGAGAGCTGGAGAAGAGAGAGAGAGAGGGAGAGCGGGAGAGAGAGTGACCAAGCACCCATGTATGTGTGTGCAACCTCCAAAGGAGATCTTCAGCATATGTCCAACACAGTAAATAAATTCGTAATTGTATCATTGGATGATCAAAGATTCTTTTCAAGGTCATTCAATTTTTAAAAACACTTGATGTCAAGTCTTGCCAAAAGCCCTCTGAAATATAAATGCATTACTGTCACATGTTCTCTCTTACTTAACACATTTATTCCTTGAAAGACTTCTAGTAATTAGCCAGACACAACCTCCACTCAGAGAAATCACACGGCCTTTCCCCCAAGAACCGATATCTACTTAAGTATTTGAAACCCTTTATTACAAAGTCCATCCAGCTTGCTTGTTATCACAATGAGACTCACCGATCTGCAAATACTGGGGTCCCCTCTGGATTGGAATGTCCTTCGAAATCTGAAATGTTCACTTGTATTTGCCTGGAGGTTACTATCTGGCTATTCTGAGAAGGTATGGTTTTCAAGTCCTGAGTAATAGTGTTACTGTCTGGAAGAGAAGGCTGTACGACTTGGAAATCCAGTGAAGATTTAGGTCCTAGAAAACCTAAAGATTCTTGATCCTGTGCTACAGGTTTACTGGTCAATAATTTGGAGGTTGGTTCCAGTGATCTCGAAGATACAGTATGTAAGTCAAAGTTAAACTCACTATTCATCCTCGCTTTAGAAGCAGCATCCAATGAATGGAATCTTTCATCTAAAGTTCCACTATCCAACTTGGAAGAAGTCTTGGGACAAAGAGTTATATGAACACAAGAAAGTGCTTTTCTATTTGAAGGAGGAGTAGATGCAGATGCTGCTAATGTACAGTGATTTGGGGCTGACTGGGAGACCACAGTATTGAACTTGGCTTCAACATTTATATTAGAAATGTGTGATTTAGGCTTATGTTGATTATTCTTTTCCACTACACAATCCTGACCTTGAGGAAGGGGAAAATGGTGTTTATTCATTTGGTCATCTACACCTGGCGCTTTGCTTTGGCATTGTTCAAGAGAAATGGGAGACGGAAGGTCTGAAGCTATAGAATCCTGACCTTGAGGAAGGGGAGAATGGTTTTCTCTCATTTGATGATCTACATATGGGGCTTTGCACTGTTCAAAGAGTTCTCGTTGTTCAAGAAAAATGCAAGAAGGAAGGTCTGGAGCTACATAATCCTGATGTTGAGGAGAGGGAGAATGGTGTTTCCTCACATGGTCATCTGCACGTGGGGCTTTGCTTTGTTCAAAGAGCTCTCGTTGTTCAAGAAAAATGCAAGAAGGAAGATCTGGAGTTATAGTTACATTCTTCTCTTTTACTCCTAGTCTGGAACTCGATCTGTTTACTCCTAGGGTGGAACTTGGTCTGCCCATGCTAATAAGGGTATGGTTATCAGAAATCTGAATTTCCTTGAAATTGCTACAATTTGCCCTGGTACTGGGCTCAGAATGACTGCCTGTAAAATCTGATCTTTCTAAGGGTTTTTCTTCTTGAAAAGAACGCTCAAAATCAACAGGTAATTTTTGGCTTTGCCTTCTACCTTCTGCTAAAATAGTCACTTCTTTATCTTGTGAATTACTATGCATTTTAAATGATGAAGGGGAAGAGGTTTTCTGTTTAAGATCTCTGGGAGGATTTTGTTCTTCAGTGAAATGAGAATTAAATACCCCCACAGATGCTCCAGTACACTGGCTACCTTCAGTAACACCAACCTTAACAACAGAGGAATTGGAAATGCATTTAGAATGTCGGTGAGATGAAAAAGTGATGGAGGTAGTAAACTTTTTCATGGGTTCTGGGGACGGCATTTGTGATGAAGAATGAAAATCCACTTCTTTAGGTGGCACAAAAGCAGGTTCTACTAATTCTGACAGCCAAGGGTCCATCTTTTCATCGAATGGCATTCGAAGACCTTTGCTGATTTTGAATTCATCAGGTATAAAGTTCTGAAATGGGGAATGACTTTTTAACTGCAAGGAATTCCAAACTTTGAAATGGGAGTTGTTCTGGTCTAAGGATGCAGAAAGGTTGACATGCTTGGCTCTGCATGATGATGGGTTCTGCCGTCCTCTGGTCATTTCTGAGGGTCCAGCAGATCTGAAAGCACAAGGGTGTCTATCTAGTTGTGGATGTTCAGAAGTTAGAGTCCGGAAACATCCCTTTTCATGGCTCTCAATAATAATGTGACTACATACAGCTTCTGGCTTGCATCCCATTCCCCGTGGACTCTGTAAACCCTAGAAGATACAAACAAACAGGTTCTTATTTGAAGTAGTCCAAGTAGTTATAAACAAATCAGTTTTATACAAATCAGTTTTATACCCACGCTAAGATTAGACCATGAAGGTCATGTCATTCTTTTATAATATAACAGGACAAAGAGCACAGCAAGCAAAAAAGACAGTTAACTACAGAATAAAATGGCTCACAATGATTAAGACCACTCAGAGAGTTCTTCTAAAAAATTTCCACTAAAGTAAACAGCAAAGATTACTATTGTCCACCAGTAAGTATTCTCACCTTTCTTTTAATAATAGAAATGCCTTACTCAAATTTTTGCTGGCCACATAGCCACCAAGTGGGAGACATTTCCTGTTTCTTCTGCAGCTAGTTGTAACCACATTACTAGACTGACACCAATGGGATATGAATGAAGGCATCAAGTACAACTTCTGCTTCCTGTCCTTAAAATCAAGTTCTTGACCTGCATGTTCCCCCAATATCACCACCACTATCATCACTATTTTTCTTGCCTCCTGAAAATGGTAATGCATGGAACAACCTTGGAAGTCATGTGTAAGACAGCTTAGTTGTCCAGCCAGCTTGGGTCCCTGGATGACATCAAGGAACAGAGCTCACTTTCCTAACATGAACAATGACGTGAAAAAATAAAATTCTATCTTATTTGAGCCACTCTATGTTTGGCTATTACAGAAGCTTGACCTACATCCTAATATTTTACCCCTAACAATGGGGGGAAAAAACCAAGACCTTGTTTCCTGGCGCATAGGATCAGTACTCAAAGCTACCATAAATATAACATTTCTTTGAGATTTCTGTATTTTACCTATACAGTCATTATAACTTGGCATTCTATTTGATGATATAGCAACATCTGATTTCAGATAAAAATATTTTAAATTATGCTGCATCTCCCCAGGTGATGGAGTAGATATATTTTTGATGGCAGCGGCATCCCATCTGGAGTGGCTGCTGCAATGATGCCAGCTGCAGTGGGGAAGGAACAGCTAGGGCTACTCGCTGTACTGAGGTGGTGGGAGCCAGGAACAGGCAGAAGCCCCACTCCCTTCTGAGTTGGAGGGGCAGGAACCCCACCCTCCTGGGCACAGCTGCAGCTGCCCAGTCACAGCTGTAGACCCAGGCACCACTGCACTTTCGGGGATCTGGGAACTCCCCCTGCCCCTGCAGGCTCAGAAGTGCCTGCTCCCACTGCCAGGCCTCTCCCCACTCCTGGTTCCCGCTCCAATTACACAGCAAAGTTGAGGCCAAGTCCAGGCACTGTTGCGACCCAGCCAGGTGTGCGCACACTTGGGACAGCACTGTCACACCAGCCCCCTGCCGCCCCTCCAGACACTGGGCACCCACAAGCACAGGAGGGAGGTTGCAGGGGCAGGGAGGGCTGAGGGCAGCTCAGAGTGGGCCTGCAGGCGCCCCCTGACATAAACAGCCTGGGTGTGCCATGGGTACCGTAGATGGCAGAGATGGCAGACAGGCTCCTGGGCAGAAAGGGGCAGGTCACCAGTGAAGCTCCACCTTTAAGCCAGGGATGGGTTGAAGGGCTGCCAGTTTCGCAGAAAGGAGAACTTATAGTGCTTTTTCCGGGCCTGCCCATGGACCAATTGGCATGCATCTCCTCCCCTTTGAAGCCCATAAAAACCCTGGACTCAGCCAGACTTGGAGAGACAATGGAATGACCTGCCTGCAGATAGGAGCTAGCCACTCCGGGTCTCTTCTCTGCTGAAAGATGCAGATTATGGGATGACCTGCATGCAGGTAGGAGCTACCCACTCTAGGTTCTCCTCTCCACTGACAGATGGACAGTCATCAGGATGACCTGCCTGCAGAAAGGAGCTACCCACTTTGGGTCTCCTGAAAACTGTTCTGCCACTCGATGAAACTCCTCTCCATCTTGCTCACCCTCCAGTTGTCCACATACCTCATTCTTCATGGATGCAGGACAAGAGCTCAGGATCCACCAAATGGTGGGACTAAAAGAGCTGTAACACAAACAGGGCTGAAACATGCCCCCTCCCCGCCTGCCATGTTGCAGGGAACAAGAAGAAGAGACAAGCTGTGGCCTTTCGGGAAGCCCAGACCTAGGGGGTCCCTGAGCCAGGACTATGACACCCTCTTTGGGGTTTTGTGGTTCCTGGTGTCTTCCAAGCTTCCAGTTGCCACCACCACATTTCCCTCACCCAGATGTGGGTGCCCACAGCAGAAGCCACGCACAGTACATCTGGTCCAGCTGCAGCCTTGCGTGGCGCCAGCACCAGTGCCAGCACTGGAGCTGCCTGCCCTACCACAGCCGTCAGCATGCCTGGCTGTGTACAGTGGCTAGACCCCACACTTGCTTGCCCACACACCCCTCACCACTCCACACCTGGCTCATGCTTGGCAGGTGTAAGACATAGCATAGTAGTGCGAGCCAAGCACAGCCTGCCAGGCCAAGTGCGGAGAATGTGCCCAGCAGTGTGAACAATACTCAGGCAGAAGGTGCTGCTGGCCACAGTGGTTTCCAGCTTGCAAACTGACACCCTGAGGATCCTGTGACATTTTTCTTTCTTTTCTCTTCTTCTTTGTTTAAGACAGGGTCTTGCTGTGTCACCCAGGCTGGAATGCTGTGGCACTATCACTGAAGCCACGACCTCCCAGGCTCAGGCGATCCTGCCACCTCAGCCTCCTGGATAGCTGGGACAACAGGCACATGCCACTACACCGGGCTAATTTTCTTATTTTTATTTTTGTAGAGACTGGGTCTCACTTTGTTGCCCAGGCTGGTCTCCAACTCCTGGATTCAAGGGATCCTCCTGCCTCAGCCTCCCCAAAGTGCTGGGATTACAGGCATGAGCCACTGCGCCTGGCCAGATGTACTTTTCCCTATTTCTCCTGCTAAGTATAATTCAGCCCACTGGAAAATATATATAAAACAAATGTAAGAAGAATCTGAAAGATGTAGAGAAGAACGTAGATTAGCTAGAGATCTAGGGACCTGAGGAATTATGCTGTGGTGCAATCACTGGGTTTTCTTTTTCTCTTGCATATACAGACTTGGAGCTGAAGAAGTCAGCTACCCAGGAACAATGGACACAGACAAAAAACCCTAACAAGAGCTTTTCTCACTAGCTAAAAACCCAGTAGAGGTGAAGCCTAGCAAAAGAGAGAACTTTTAAATAATAACCATTCTACTCCAGCCAACCATCACAGAAAAAACTAGACCCACTCACACCAACACCAGCAAAGGCCAAGTGAGGAACCCAGGACTTACTTTCATCTCTGCTGGCTGATAAAGTGCTATCCCTTCCTTGCGGCGTCAGTGAAAGTCTAGCGAAGCCTACCTAGACTATCCAGCAAAACAAAATGCCCCTCTCTCTCCCAGCTACAGGTTACAAGAAAATATTTGCAAACCTCATATCCAACAAAGGTCTTGTATCTGCTAGCCTTACATCTAACATATATACTAACATATATATACAATTCACAACAGTAAAAAGGGAAAAAAAAGACAATCCAATTAAAAAATGGGCAAAAGAGGGACAGGAGCCAAGATGGCCGAATAGGAACAGCTCCGGTCTACAGCTCCCAGCGTGAGCCACGCAGAAGACGGTGATTTCTGCACTTCCATCTGAGGTACTGGGTTCATCTAACTAGGGAGTGCCAGACAGTGGGCGCAGGTCAGTGGGTGCGCGCACCGTGTGCGAGACGAAGCAGGGCAAGGCATTGCCTCACTTGGGAAGCGCAAGGGGTCAGGGAGTTCCCTTTCCTAGTCAAAGAAAGGGGTGACGGACGCACCTGGAAAATCGGGTCACTCCCACCCGAATACTGCGCTTTTCCAACCGGCTTAAAAAACGGCGCACCACGAGATTATACCCCGCACCTGGCTCCGAGCGTCCTAGGCCCACGGAGTCTCGCTGATTGCTAGCACAGCAGTCTGAGATCAAACTGCAAGGTGGCAGCGAGGCTGGGGGAGGGGCGCCCGCCATTGCCCAGGCTTGCTTAGGTAAACAAAGCAGCCTGGAAGCTCGAACTGGGTGGAGCCCACCACAGCTCAAGGAGGCCTGCCTGCCTCTGTAGGCTACATCTCTGGAGGAAGGGCACAGACAAACAAAAAGCAGCAGTAACCTCTGCAGACTTAAATGTCCCTGTCTGACAGCTTTGAAGAGAGCAGTGGTTCTCCCAGCACACAGCTGGAGATCTGAGAACGGGCAGACTGCCTCCTCAAGTGGGTCCCTGACCCCTGACCCCTGAGCAGCCTAACAGGGAGGCACCTCCCAGCAGGGGCACACTGACACCTCACACGGCAGGGTATTCCAACAGACCTGCAGCGGAGGGTCCTGTCTGTTAGAAGGAAAATTAACAAATAGAAAGGACATCCACACCAAAAACCCATCTGTACATCACCATCATCAAAGACCAAAAGTAGATAAAACCACAAAGATGGGGAAAAAACAGAGCAGAAAAACTGGAAACTCTAAAAAGCAGAGCACCTCTCCTCCTCCAAAGGAACACAGTTCCTCACCAGCAATGGAACAAAGCTGGATGGAGAATGACTTTGACGAGCTGAGAGAAGAAGGCTTCAGACGATCAAATTACTCTGAGCTACGGGAGGACATTCAAACCAAAGGCAAAGAAGTTGAAAACTTTGAAAAAAATTTAGAAGAATGTGTAACTAGAATAACCAATACAGAGAAGTGCTTAAAGGAGCTGATGGAGCTGAAAAACAAGGCTCGAGAACTATGTGAAGAATGCAGAAGCCTCAAGAGCCGATGCCATCAACTGGAAGAAAGGGTATCAGCGATGGAAGAAGAAATGAATGAAATGAAGCGAGAAGGGAAGTTTAGAGAAAAAAGAATAAAAAGAAATGAGCAAAGCCTCCAAGAAATATGGGACTATGTGAAAAGAACAAATCTACGTCTGATTGGTGTACCTGAAAGTGATGGGGAGAATGGAACCAAGTTGGAAAACACTCTGCAGGATATTATCCAGGAGAACTTCCCCAATCTAGCAAGGCAGGCCAACATTCAGATTCAGGAAATACAGAGAACGCCACAAAGATACTCCTCGAGAAGAGCAACTCCAAGACACATTAATTGTCAGATTCACCAAAGTTGAAATGAAGGAAAAAATGTTAAGGACAGCCAGAGAGAAAGGTCGGATTACCCACAAAGGGAAGCCCATCAGACTAACAGCGGATCTCTCGGCAGAAACCCTATAAGCCAGAAGAGAGTGGGGGCCAATATTCAACATTCTTAAAGAAAAGAATTTTCAACCCAGAATTTCATATCCAGCCAAACTAAGCTTCATAAGTGAAGGAGAAATAAAATCCTTTACAGACAAGCAAATGCTGAGAGATTTTGTCACCACTAGGCCTGCCCTAAAAGAGCTCCTGAAGGAAGCACTAAACATGGAAAGGAACAACCAGTACCAGCCGCTGCAAAATCATGCCAAAATGTAAAGACCATCAAGACTAGGAAGAAACTGCATCAACTAATGAGCAAAATAACCAGCTAACATCATAATGACAGGATCAAATTCACACATAACAATATTAACTTTAAATATAAATGGACTAAATGCTCCAATTAAAAGGCAAAGACTGGCAAATTGGATAAAGAGTCAAGACCCATCAGTGTGCTGTATTCAGGAAACCCATCTCACATGCAGAGACACACATAGGCTCAAAATAAAAGGATGGAGGAAGATCTACCAAGCAAATGGAAAACAAAAAAAGGCAGGGGTTGCAATCCTAGTCTCTGATAAAACAGACTTTAAACCAACAAAGATCAAAAGAGACAAAGAAGGCCATTACATAATGGTAAAGGGATCAATTCAACAAGAAGAGCTAACTATCCTAAATATATATGCACCCAATACAGGAGCACCCAGATTCATAAAGCAAGTCCTGAGTGACCTACAAAGAGACTTAGACTCCCACACATTAATCATGGGAGACTTTAACACCCCACTGTCAACATTAGACAGATCAACGAGACAGAAAGTCAACAAGGATACCCAGGAACTGAACTCAGCTCTGCACCAAGTGGACCTAATAGACATCTACAGAACTCTCCACCCCAAATCAACAGAATATACATTTTTTTCAGCACCACACCACACCTATTCCAAAATTGACCACATACTTGGAACTAAAGCTCTCCTCAACAAATGTAAAAGAACAGAAATTATAACAAACTATCTCTCAGACCACAGTGCAATCAAACTAGAACTCAAGATTAAGAATCTCACTCAAAACCGCTCAACTACATGGAAACTGAACAACCTGCTCCTGAATGACTACTGGGTACATAACGAAATGAAGGCACAAATAAAGATGTTCTTTGAAACCAACGAGAACAAAGACACAACATACCAGAATCTCTGGGACACATTCAAAGCAGTGTGTAGAGGGAAATTTATAGCACTAAATGCCCACAAGAGAAAGCAGGAAAGATCCAAAATTGACACCCTAACATCACAATTAAAAGAACTAGAAAAGCAAGAGCAAACACATTCAAAAGCTAGCAGAAGGCAAGAAATAACTAAAATCAGAGCAGAACTGAAGGAAATAGAGACACAAAAAACCCTTCAAAAAATTAATGAATCCAGGAGCTGGTTTTTTGAAAGGATCAACAAAAGACTGCTAGCAAGACTAATAAAGAAAAAAAGAGAGAAGAATCAAATAGACACAATTAAAAATGATAAAGGGGATATCACCACCGATCCCACAGAAATACAAACTACCATCAGAGAATACTACAAACACCTCTATGCAAATAAACTAGAAAATCTAGAAGAAATGGATAAATTCCTCGACACATACACTCTCCCAAGACTAAACCAGGAAGAAGTTGAATCTCTGAATAGACCAATAACAGGATCTGAAATTGTGGCAATAATCAATAGCTTACCAACCAAAAAGAGTCCAGGACCAGATGGATTAACAGCCGAATTCTACCAGAGGTACAAGAAGGAACTGGTACCATTCCTTCTGAAACTATTCCAATCAATGGAAAAAGAGGGAATCCTCCCTAACTCTTTTTATGAGGCCAGCATCATTCTGATACCAAAGCCAGGCAGAGACACAACAAAAAAAGAGAATTTTAGACCAATATCCTTGATGAACATTGATGCAAAAATCCTCAATAAAATACTGGCAAACTGAATCCAGCAGCACACCGAAAAGCTTATCCACCATGATCAAGTGGGCTTCATCCCTGGGATGCAAGGCTGGTTCAATATATGCAAATCAATAAATGTAATCCAGCATATAAACAGAGCCAAAGACAAAAACCACATGATTTTCTCAATAGATGCAGAAAAAGCCTTTGACAAAATTCAACAACACTTCATGCTAAAAACTCTCAATAGATTAGGTATTGATGGGACGTATTTCAAAATAATAAGAGTTATCTATGACAAACCCACAGCCAATATCATACTGAATGCCCAAAAACTGGAAGCATTCCCTTTGAAAACCGGCACAAGACAGGGATGCCCTCTCTCACCACTCCTATTCAACATGGTGTTGGAAGTTCTGGCCAGGGCAATTAGGCAGGAGAAGGAAATAAAAGCTATTCAATTAGGAAAAGAGGAAGTCAAATTGTCCCTGTTTGCAGATGACATGATTGTATATCTAGAAAACCCCACTGTCTCAGCCCAAAATCTCCTTAAGCTGATAAGCAACTTCAGCAAAGTCTCAGGATACAAAATCAATGTACAAAAATCACAAGCATCCTTATACACCAACAACAGACAAACAGAGAGCCAAATCATGAGTGAACTCCCATTCACAATTGCTTCAAAGAGAATAAAATACCTAGGAATCCAACTTACAAGGGATGTGAAGGACCTCTTCAAGGAGAACTACAAACCACTACTCAAGGAAATAAAAGAGGATACAAACAAATGGAAGAACATTCCATGCTCATGGGTAGGAAGAATCAATATCGTGAAAATGGCCATACGGCCCAAGGTAACTTACAGATTCAATGCCATCCCCATCAAGCTACCAATGCCTTTCTTCACAGAATTGGAAAAAACTACTTTAAAGTTCATATGGAACCAAAAAAGAGCCTGCATCGCCAAGTCAATCCTAAGCCAAAAGAACAAACCTGGAGGCATCACGCTACCTGACTTCAAACTATACTACAAGGCTACAGTAACCAAAACAGCATGGTACTGGTACCAAAACAGAGATATAGATCAATGGAACAGAACAGAGCCCTCAGAAATAATGCAGCATATCTACAACTATCTGATCTTTGACAAACCTGAGAAAAACAAGCAATGGGGAAAGGATTCCCTGTTTAATAAATGGTGCTGGGAAAACTGGCTAGCCATATGTAGAAAGCTGAAACTGGATCCCTTCCTTACACCGTATACAAAAATTAATTCAAGATGGATTAAAGACTTACATGTTAGACTGAAAACCATAAAAACCCTAGAAGAAAACCTAGGCATTACCATTCAGGACATAGGTGTGGGCAAGGACTTCATGTCTAAAACACCAAAAGCAATGGCAACAAAAGACAAAATTGACAAATGGGATCTAATTAAACTAAAGAGCTTCTGCACAGCAAAAGAAACTACCATCAGAGTGAACAGGAAACCTACAAAATGGGAGAAAATTTTCGCAACCTACTCATCTGACAAAGGGCTAATATCCAGAATCTACAATGAACTCAAACAAATTTACAAGAAAAAAACAAACAACCCCATCAAAAAGTGGGCGAAGGACATGAACAGACACTTCTCAAAAGAAGACATTTATGCAGACAAAAAACACATGAAAAAATGCTCATCATCACTGGACATCAGAGAAATGCAAATCAAAACCACAATGAGATACCATCTCACACCAGTTAGAATGGCAATCATTAAAAAGTCAGGAAACAACAGGTGCTGGAGAGGATGTGGAGAAATAGGAACACTTTTACACTGTTGGTGGGACTGTAAACTAGTTCAACCATTGTGGAAGTCAATGTGGCGATTCCTCAGGGATCTAGAACTAGAAATACCATTTGACCCAGCCATCCCATTACTGGGTATATACCCAAAGGACTATAAATCATGCTGCTATAAAGACACATGCACACGTATGTTTATTGCGGCATTATTCACAATAGCAAAGACTTGGAACCAATCCAAATGTCCAAGAATTATAGACTGGATTAAGAAAATGTGGCACATATACACCATGGAATACTATGCAGCCATAAAAAATGATGAGTTCATGTCCTTTGTAGGGACATGGATGAAATTGGAAATCATCATTCTCAGTAAACTATCGCAAGAACAAAAAGCAAACACCGCATATTCTCACTCATAGGTGGGAATTGAACAATGAGATCACATGGACACAGGAAGGAGAATATCACACTCTGGGGACTGTGGTGGGGTGGGGGGAGTGGGGACGGATAGCATTAGGAGATATACCTAATGCTAGATGACAAGTTAGTGGGTGCAGCACACCAGCATGGCACATGTATACATATGTAACTAACCTGCACAATGTGCACATGTACCCTAAAACTTAAAGTATAATAATAAAAATAAATAAATAAAAATAAAAATAAAAAAAGAAAATGGGCAAAAGATACAGACATTTCACTTAACAGGAGAAAGAGACTGGAAACAGAAATATTAAAAAATGTGCAACATCAAAAACCATTAGGGAAATACACATTAAAAACTTAATAAGATACCACTACATACCTATTAGAATGACTAGAATAAAAATAGTGACAGTATCAAATGCTGGTGAGGATATGGAGTAGACGGATTACTCACACACTGCTGGTGGGAATGTAAATGATATAACCACCCTGGAAAAAGGTGTGGCCTGTCTTTCAAAAAACTAAACATGCAACTACCACATGACCCAGCAATTGCAATCCTGGGCATCTACCCCACAGAAACAAAGACATATTCACACAAAAACTTGCATATGAATGTTTACAGCAGCTGTACTGGTAAAGCCAAAAACTGGGAAACAACCAAGATGTCCTTCAATAGTGAATATTTAAACTGTGGTGCATTCATACTTTGGAATACTATACATCAATAAAAAAGAAAAACTACTGATACATAAAACAGTCTGGATGAATCTCCAGATAAGTATGCTGAGTGAAAAAAAGGCCAATACAATAAGGTTGCATACTATATGTTATCATTTATATGACATTCTTGAAATTACAAAGTTATAGAAACAAAGGAACAAATTAGTGGTTGCCAGGAGCTCAGTAAAAGGTGGGGCAGGAGAGAAGTGGAAGTAGCTATTATAAGGTATCATGAGGCACCTTTGTAGTGATGTAAATGTTCAGTATCTTGGCTGTATCAATATCAACGTTGTGGTTGTGATATATCACCACAGTTATGCAAGATGTTACCACTTGGGGAAATTGGGTGAAGGGTATATGTGATATCTCTATATTATTTATCACATGTGAAACTACAATTATTTCAAAACAAAATGTTGACTTAAAAAAAATTAAATACCACTGGACAAAACTAACACTTTAAAAATGCCACTTTTTGCCCATCAATGATAGACTGGATAAAGAAAATGTGGCACATATATACCATGGAATACTATGCAGCCATAAAAAAGAATAAGACCATGTCCTTTGCTGGGACATGGATGAAGCCGGAAGCCATCATTCTCAGCAAACTAACACAGGAACAGAAAACCAAACACCACGTGTTCTCACTCATAAATGGGAGTTGAACAATGAGAACACATGGACACAGGGAGGGGAACATCACACACCGGGGCCTGTCGGTGGGGTCAGGGGCAAGGGGAGGGAGAGCATTAGGACAAATACCTAACGTATGCAGGGCTTAAAACCTAAATGATGGGTTGATAGGTGCAGCAAACCACCATGGCACATGTATACCTGTGTAACAAACCTGCACGTTCTGCATATGTATCCTGGAACTTAAAGTAAAATAAATAAATAAATAAATAAATAAATAAACGAATAAATTACTAAATAAATAAAAATATTCGTCATTAGCTGATAAAAATAGATGTAAAAATTTTATTTGGGCAAAAAAAATGTTGTTTTTATTCTGTGGCTTCTTATTGCCTTGATACCTCCTGACATATCAGTGGGAAGCAAATATCCGAATTTGAGAAACATAAACCTATTCCAGCCTCTTAAAAGTATGCATGAGTAGATTTATACTCATCCCAAAATATATTTCTCTTCTTCCTTTCCAACAATTATATCTTACAAATTTTTTAACACTTCATGCTCTACCTCCTCCCATTGCATCTTTCAAGCTTTCATAATAACCTTTCCATTTTAAAAATTCTTGTAGCTTTAGTATTTGCCAAGTAAATTTCAGTATTTTCACATAACCATTTCCAAGTAATTTTACAACAAACCAACCACATGTCATTAGATATGTAACAGGCTCTTAAAAGCTACTGTTCAGTTCAACAAAACCCAATACGTTTTTGTGATAAAATTTCTCAGCAAACTAGGAATGGAAGGGATTTCTTTAACCAGATGAAGAGTACCTATGAAAGACTCAGCGCTAACATAATACCGAATAATGAAAAGCTAGATGCTTTCTCCCTACAATCAAGAACAAGACAAGTATGGCCATTCTTACCTCTTCTATTCAGTATCATATTGGATGTTACATATTGCCAGGGCAACCAGGTTAGAAATTAAAGACATCTAGATTGGAAAGAAAGAAGTACAACTATATCTATTTGCAGATGACATGAACTTCATACAGGAAATCCCAAGGAAACCAGGACAAACCAATTAAGACTAATAAGTTCAGCAAAGCTGCAGGATGCCAGTGCAATATACAAAAATCAACTGTATTTTAATACACTAGCAATTCACAATCCAAAAATAAATTTTTAAAAAAAATTCAATTTACAACAGCAAGAAAAAGAATTAAATACTTGAGAATATATTTAGCAAAATAAATATATGTCTAGTATACTAAAAAACATAGAATGAAATGGAAGAAAATCAAAATAACTAGAAAACTGGCTCATGTTTATGGACTGAAAGATTAATACTTCCTAAACTAATCTAGAGATTCAAGTGGTAATATTTCCCATAGTAATCTAGAGATTCAATGCAACTCTTATTAAAAGCCTAGCCTTTTTTTTTTCAGTAATTGACAAGCAGATCATAAACCCAGAACAGCCAAAATAATCTTGAAAATGACAAACATCGTTGGAGGACTCACTCTTTCCGATGTCAAAACTTACTCCAAAGCTACAATAATCAAGACAGCACAGTGCTGGCATAAGGACAGTCATGTAGATCAATGGCATAGAACCGACAGTCCAGAAATAAACACTAACATTTATGGTAAATTGATTTTCAGCAAAGAGGTCATGAAAATTCAACAGGGAAAGAAGAGTCTTTTCAACAGTGCTGAAACAACTCAATATCTATATGCAAAGACGAATTTGCATGCCATACATAAAAACTGACTCAAAGGAGAAAGGCAACAAAAGTAAAAGTTGATAAATTGGACTAAATCAAAATTTAAAACTTCTGTTCACCAAAGGACACCATCAACAGAGTGAAAAGGTAACCTAGAAAATGGGAGAAAATATTTGCAAATCATGTACAATAAGTCTTCACTTAACATCATCAATAGGTACTTAGAAATTGCACCTTTAAGTGAAACAATGTACTGAATACCATAGGAACTTAACTCTTGTTTTATCAATTAACTTATATCAGTT
The DNA here is from genome assembly GCF_000001405.40 of Homo sapiens. Taxonomy (NCBI): domain Eukaryota; kingdom Metazoa; phylum Chordata; class Mammalia; order Primates; family Hominidae; genus Homo; species Homo sapiens. The sequence goes on along the minus strand of NW_025791766.1, from coordinate 146,406 downwards.
TGTTTTGCTATGCTATACGTCACTTCACTTACAGGTCAGTTTCCAAGAACTTAACAAAGATGTGAGGCAAAGACTCACTGTATCTGATGCAAGGTTAATATCCAGAACATATAAAGGACACTTACAACTCAGGAACAACAACAACAAAACCTGATTCAAAGATAGGCAAAAATAATAGACATTTCTCCAGAGAAGGTATACAACTGGCCAACCAAAAATGAAAAGAAGCTCAATATTACTAATCATAAGGGAAATGAAAATCACCACCACAATGAGACATCAATTCAGACCTGTTAGAATAGCCATTATTAAGAAGGAAAAAAAAAAACAAAAAAAAACAGAAAATAACAAGTATTGGCAAGGATGTGGAGAAATCAGTACCCTCGAATACTGCTGGTGGGAATGTAAACAGTGTAGCCCTTATGGAAAACAGTACGGAGCTTCCTCAAAAACTTAAAAGTAGAATGACTGTATGATCCAGGAATTCCACTTTTGGGTCTGTACCCAAAAGAAGTGAAAGCAGGACCTTGAAGAGATAATTATAACAAGCATGTTCACAGCAGCACTATTCACAATAGCCAAATGGCAGAAGCAACTCAAGTGTCTATCAACAGATGAATGGATAAACTTTTGTTTGTGGCATACACATACAATGGAATAATATAATCTCAAAAAAGAAGGAAATTCTGACATATAGTACAACATGGGTGAATTTTAAGAATATACTACTGAATGAAATAAACCAGTGGCAAAAAGACATATACTGTGTGATTCTGCTACTATAAGGTACCTAGAGTAGCCAAATTCATAGAGACAGAAAGTAGAATGGTGGTTGCTAGGGCCTAAGGGGAAGGGGAAAATGGGGAGTTGTTGTTTAATGGATATAGAGTTTCAGTATTACAAGATTTAAAAAGCTATAGAGATTGGTTAAACAACAATATGAATGTACTTAACGCCACTGAACCATATACTTAACAATGGTTAAGATGATAAATTTTATGTATATTTTATCACAATTAAAAAAATAAAAATTTTAATTGCCTCAAATAGAACCACAGATCTAAATATAAAAACTAAAACTAAATCTCTCAGAAGAAAACACTAAATCTTTGTGACCCTGGGTTATGCACTGATTTCTTAGATATGTCACCAAAAGTGCAAAGAATAAAAGTCTGATAAGTTAGAGTTCATCAGAATTTAAAACTTTTGCGTATCAAAGGTCACCATCAAGAAAGTAAAAAAGTCTACAGAATGGGAGAAAATATTGGTAAGTCCATAAATCTGCTAAAGGTCTAATATCCAGAATATAAAAAGAATGCTTGCAACTCAACAAATTTGTACAGTGATAAATTTATAAATGGGTAAAGAATTTGAATAGGTATTTCATCAGAAAAGATAAATGACCAATAAGCACATGAAAAGATGTTCAACACCATTAGTTGTTAGAAATAGGTAAAAAACACAATAAATACCCCTTAACACCCAACCAGGCTATAATCAAAAAGACAGAAAATGACAAATGTTGGAAAGGACGTGGAGAAACTGAAACCCTCATATACTGCTCATGGGAATGTAAATAGTGCAGCTACTTCAGAAAAAAGTTTAGAAGTTCCTCAACATGTTAAACATGGAGTTACTGTATGTCCCAGTAATTCTACTGTTAGGTATATAACCAAGAGAAATGAAACACCTACCCTAACACATAAACACTATGTTCATAGCAGCACTATTCACAATGGCCAGAGTGGAAAATCCAAATGTCTACCAACTAATGAGTAAACAAAGTATCTATACAATGAAATGTAATTTGGCAATAAAAAGGGATGAAGTACTGATTCACATTACAACATAACATGAATGACTCTTGAAAACACTATGCTAAGTAAAAGAAGGCAGTCACAAAAGATCATACATTACAATTCTGTTTATATAAAATGTCCAGAATTGGCAAAAAAGAATTGGGAGAGAAAGTGGACTGGTGTTTGCCTAGGGCTAGGGAATTGGGGGAGAGGGGCTAATGACAACAAAGTTCTAAAATTATGCTATTGTAAAATTCTATAAATAAACTATACACTTTAAATGGGCAAACCTTATGTATTATAGTAAATTATACTGAGATAAAGATGTTATGAAATTACTGGTTAGCTAAAATATGTCTTTTACTGATTTCCAGATGCTATTTCACAATTAAAATTATCTCTTCTCAAAAGATCTACATGAGTTTTATCAGGTTATATTATTCTCTCATCATCCAGCTTAATGACACATCAGCCAGGTGCAGTGGCTTAAGCCTGTAATACCAGCACTTTGAGAGACTGAGGTGGAAGGATAGCTTGAGCTCGGGAGGTGGACATTGCAGTGAGCTAAGATCCAGCCACTACACTCCAGCCTCGGTGACTGAGCAAGACCCTGTCACAAACAAACAAACAATGTCAAAGACTTCATGTAACAAACCAAAAAAGAAATAAGTAGTTCTTCACCGTCATGTAAACCAATAGACACACACACACACACACACACACACACACACACACACAGAGTCAACAAGCACTAAAAAGTAAAAATCTACTTTCTACAAATAAAAGAAACGTATTACCATGTGATACAAAACTTACTTAAAAATCAATAAGCTTTTGGAAACACTTGTTTTAAAAAAATTCTCAATTTTTTAAATATATAAATTACCACAGTATTTACGGCAGGAATAACTTTGTAAGAAGCTCATAGTTTTGTATTTTATGACTTCAAAACCAGATTTAAAAAAAAAATCTGTTAAAGCTGACTTCATTAAGGAAAGTATATTTCTACTAATAGAACCAACATCTATGCTAAATATTTAACAATTTGACTATAATGTGACATGGTGTGGGTCTCTTTGAGTTTAACCCATTTGAAATTCATTTTTCAACAAATTAGGGAAGTTTTCAACCATTATTTCTTCAAATATTATTACCGCCCCTTTCTCTCTCTCTCTCTCTCTCTCTCTCTTCCCTCTAAGAATCCCATAATGCATATGTTGGTATGCTTGGGGATGTCCCATAGCCCTGTTCATTTTCTTTATTCTTTTCTCTTTCTTCTCCTCGAATAAATAAATCATCTGACCTTTCTTCAAGTTCACTGATTCTTTGTTCAGACTACTCAGCTATTGAATCCTTCTAAAGAATTTTTGTTACTGTACTTTTCAGCTGCAGAATTTCTATTTGTTTCCTTTTTATAATTTCTCTTTGTCGATATTTCTTTTTGGTGGGAAATCCTTTTCTTGGTTTCCCTTAGTTCTTTGCTGATGGTATTGTTCAGCTCATTGAGTACATTTAAGGTGGGCTTCCTCAGGGATAGTTTCATTAATTTCTCTTTTTTCCTTTGAATGAGTCACACTTTTTTACTTCTTTGCATGCCTTATAATTTGTTGAAAACTGGACATATTGAATATTATAAAGTGACAACTCTGGATACTGGATTCTCCCCCTTCCCTGGAGTTTGCTGTTACTGCTTGTTGTAAGTGTTGTTTAGTGACTATTTCATAAAGCTTACATTCTTTGTTGTGCATGGAACTGAAGTCTGTGCTCACTTAGCTTCAGGGTCAACTACTATTTTGACAGGTTCCTTAAACACCTGCAGCCAAGGAAAGAAAAAAGGTAATAGGAAAGAAAAAAAACACTCCCAGTCTTTTTTGCTCTGTGTTGGGGCATTCCATCAACACTAAGCCAGGCTGTTTACAACTATATCTTAGCCTTCACATCCTACTTAGTTAGGCAGAGCCTGAAGGTCAGCTAGTGGTGAAAGCTTAGGGTCTTCTCAAGCCTTCTCTGAGGAGTTGTCCAATCCTAGGCATGTACGTAGCATTCTCAATTTCTCAGCATACAAAAAAGCATTTAAAAGTCCTTATACCACCCCGTATCTCCTTTTCAACCGTTCCTTCCTGGCTTTTTGTCTACCTATTCATTGTCCTAATTTTTATCCCCAGACTCAGGCTTCTACAGCTGATACTCTGGCTTTTAAATACTTTTGACACGTGATGACAGACAAGCCACCCCAGTCCCAGGAAAGCTCTGAGCTGTGTAAAACAAAAGGAAGCTCTATACTGGTCCTTCAGATACTTCAGACAGGTTAAAACGATCACAATTTTTTGAGAGCAAGATCTGTACTAATCCTTCTCGTGCTAACAGCCTGCACCATGAGTATAAGCTGCTGTCTTCAAAGTCATTGTTCATCTAGGCACAAGGAATGGTAGGTGAGCAATTTAAGGTGCCATAGTGTTCTGTTTCTGCAGCGCTACAGCTCCCTACTTTTCCTGGTTTTTAATGTTAACTAAATTCCAGAGTTCTACGAAAACTAATTCTGATAGTTTCTGGAAGCTTATTAGGTGTTTTTGCAAGAGCCCTAGAGTTCCCTACTCCACCATATTATATGACTTTTCTCACAAATGTTTTATATGCATAACAAAAGTATTTGACTTTGATTATGCTGATTGCAAATTTCAAATACATATTCTTTATCATATTTGAGGTATTATTCTACTATAAAGAAATATTCTACTCTAAAGAAATATTTTTAATTACAGATTTTATTTTTATTCCCAAATACTTTTTGGAGCTTAATGAAATAATCATTTCTCCATTAGATCTACTAATGTAAAAACTTGTTTATAAATTTCCCAATATTGAACTATCTGCTTTGCCTGTGATACCTACCTAACATCAATTCCCAATTTCCCCTTCCTCCCAGTCCTTGGCAATCACCATTCTACTCTCTGTTTTCTGAATTTGACTATTTTTAGATATTTCATATAAGTGAAATCATTCAGTATTTGTCCTTCTGTGACTGGATTCTTTCACATAGTGTAATGTCTTGCAGGGTCATCCATGTTGTCACATACAGCAGGACTTCCTTAAGGTGGAATAATATTCCATTGTATGTATATACCACATTTTCTTTATCCATTCATCTATAGATGTTTATACATCTTGTTTATATATCTTGGCTACTGTGATTAATGCTATTGTGAACATGGGATCTCCTCAAGATTCTGATTTCATTTCCTTTGGATATGTACCCAGAAGTGGGATCATATGGTAATTCTATTCTTATTTTTTAAGGAATCTCCATACTATTTTCCACAGCAGCTACACCATTTTACATGACCATCTACAGTGTACAGGGTTCTAATTTCTCCACATCCTCTCCAACACTTGTTACCATTTGTTTTGTTTTGATATCAGCCATCCTAACAGATATGAAGTGTTCAGTCATTGTGGTTTTGATTTGCATTTTCCTGATGATTAGCGATATTGAATATCTTTTCATATACAGCACCTTACACATTTGTATGTCTTAAGAAATGTTCATTCAAGTCCTTTACCCATGTTTTAACCAGGTTATTTGTTTTTTGTTTTGGGGATTTTTTTTTTTTTTTTTGGCTGTTGAGTTGCAGGTGTTCCTTATATACTTTGGATATTAACCCCTCATTAGATACATGGTTTGCAAATATTTTCTCCTATTCCATAGATTACCAGTTCAGTCTCTTAACTGTTTTCTTTGCTGTGCAAAAGCTTTTTAATTAGATGCAGTCCTGTTTGTCTATTTTTTTAAATTGCTTTCGCTGTAGCTATAAGTTGTTTTCTGTTAAGACTTTGGTAACCACAAAGAAAATACCTATAGAAGATACACGAAAGAAAAAAAAAAAAGGAAGGATCAAAGCAAAATCAACAAATCACAAAGGAAGACAGCAAGAGAGGACAAAAGGGACAAAACAACTACAAGAAAGAAACCAATTAACAAAATGGAACTAGTAAGTCTTTCCCTATCAATAATTACTTTAATGTAAATGGAGTAAACTCCCTAATCAAAAAACATATAGTGGCTGAATTAATTTTAAAAATAAGATCTAACTATATACTATCTAGAAGAGACTCACTTTAGATTTAAGGACACACAGGCTAAAAGTGAAGGAATAGGAAAATATATTCCATGCAGATAGCAACCAAAAGAGCACAGGTGTGGCCACACTATCAGACGATATAGACTTTAAATAAAAAACCATCCCAAGAGACAAAGAAGGTCATATGATAAAAGAGTCAATTCATTAGGAAGATATCACAAGTATAAACATATATACACCCAACATTAGAGTACCTAAATACATAAAGCAAACACTGACAGAACTGAAGGGAAAAATAGCAATTAGCAATACAGTAGAAGATGTCAGTACCCCATTTTCAATAATGAACAGAACACACATATACTGAATATTCCACCTAACAGTTGCAGAATACACAGTCTTCTCAACTGCACATAGAACATTCTCCAGGATAGATCACATATTAAGTCATAAAACAAGTCTGAACAAATTTAAGAAGACTGAAATGATACCAACCTTTTTTTCCCAAGCACAATAGACTAAAATTAGAAATCAGTAACAGAAGGAAAACTGGGAAAATCACAATTATGTGGGAATTAACAACACACTCTTAAAACAACCAGTGGATCAAAGATGAAATCAAGGAAAATTTTAAAAAAGACAAAAACACAACAAATGAACACTTACAGGATGAAGCAAAATCAGGACTAAGAGGGAAGTTTCTAATGATAATTGCCTATTTTTAAAGGAAGAAAGATCTCAAATAAGCAACTCAACTTTACATCTCAAGGAACTAGAAAAAAAAGAACAAAACTAAGCCCAAAGTTAGCAGAAAAAAGGAAAGAATAAAAATTAGAGCAGAAATAAAAAATAGAAAAACAGGAAGAAATCAACTAAATTGTTAGTTTTTGAAAAGGTAAAAACAATGTTAACAAACATTTAGCTAGACTAAGAAAAAACTAGAAGACTCAAATAAATAAAATCAGAAATAAAAGTGGAGACATCACACTGATGCAAAAGATTCATAATTTCAGGTATGTCTTCTGAGGTTTTTGTTAATGTCCTCAAGTAAATTAGGAAGTTTTTGTTAGTGTATTGGAACTGTTTATATGGCACAGGAGTTATCCATTACTTGATAGCTTGAGTCACCCATATAAACATCTAAGTCAGGCATTGTTTTTTTCTTTTTGTTAAGAGTATACCAAAAAGTTGATAGAATGTTAAAATAAACATGTGAATTCCTTCTATTTAGATTCAACAATTGTCGAACATTTTCCCCTATCCCTCCACAAAGCTTTATCCCTCCACAAAGACACTGATTTGACACTTCGACCCTAAATAATTCACCTATCATATAACCACAATGTCATTATCATGCCCAGGAAATACTTCATAATGTTACCTAATATTGAGCTAGGTCAGGTACTTTTCTTGGAAGCCAAATGTTTGATCAATAAAGTTTTTCTCTCTCATAATGTTTAATCTGTTACACGCTTCTGTTTAATTATATTATCTAAGAAAATCAGTCATTTCATGAAAATTTTATACCTAACGAGAGTTATATGTTATACATTATATTCTCCTATTATTTCAAATTTTCTAAGTGGTATATCTGGCATGCTCCTTTTCATTTACCACATTGTATGTTTTTCCTTCTCATCTTCTAGCTAGTCAGAACTTGTCTGCTGATTTGGAATTTTTCCAAGGTCCAAATCTAGATTTTAATGCTCAATTCTATCATTTTTCTGTTTTCTAGTTCATTAACTGATAGATTTTATTTTATAATTTCCTCCTTACTACTTTCGTAGTTTGGTTTGGTTTATTTTAGAGTATAAGTAAAGTTTACTTCATGGTTTTTTTTTCTAAACTTGTTGAGTTATTGGTCCATATACTAAATGATATAAAGTACTGACTTCAAACTTTTCTTCTCTTCATTACCAAACAGAAGAGAGAAGGAGAAGAGACAGTATTCTGCCGAGAGAAGTCAGTAAATCATTGGGTACAGTGTGGATCTCGTTCTCATAGCATGGAAGGGGCCAAAATGATCTCAACAGTTTTTGACAAGCAATCTAAGAGAGTTTCCTTTAGGAGCCTACAAATGTGATTTGTTGGCCTCTGCATTTCTGTGGGGTAGAGGACAGTTAAGATAAATCCTCATCGTGGTTTGGAATTGTATCTGAACATAAAATTTGTACCTTGATGTAGAAAACAAATAGAAAAAGGACAGAAGCAGGTTCCTCCTTATTGTTAATTACTTTAAAAGTAAATAAATTTAATCAATAGAGATTGGCAGAATGATCCAACTATATACTGTCTACAACAGACTCACTTTACAAAATTATAACATATGCTACAACATGGATGAACCACATGAGGCTAAGTGAAATAAGCCAGTCACAAAAAGACAAATATTGTATTATTCCATTTATAGGAAGTACTCAGAGTAATCAAAATCATATGAGACAAAAAGGAAAATGGTGGCTGCCTGGGGCAGATGGGAAGACAGAATGAGAAGTTATTATTTAATGGGTATAAGTTTCAGTTTTACAAGATGAAAAGAGTCTTGGAGACGGATGGTGGTGGTGGTTGCACAACAATATGAATGTACTTAACACCAGTAAACTGTACACTTAAAAACAGTTGAGGTAAATTTTGTGTTGTGTATTTTACCATGATAAAAAAAATTTAAAGAAACATCTGCCTTGATTCATTGAAGCAGTTTGTGCTAGGTGGATATAGAGTCTTATTAATAAATACAGTGTATTTCTCTATGTACTTAGGACTTCTACTAGCCTTTCAAAATAAATTTTACTATTCTCCAATAAAAGATCTCATAAATCTTGTTAGATTTATGCCTTGATGCTTTTTATAAAGTTTTTGCTATGATTAGAAATGGTTGCCTTCTTAAAGTTCCTTTTCTATGATTTCAATTGTATCTCTTGTTCAATGTTTCCTTTTAATTAATATATAATAAATCTTTAATAAGGTGTACAAATCTGAAGTCAGGTAGTTTATTTTTTATATGTGATGACAGCAATGTAAATGCTGCCCATATCCAGATATACAAAAACTTCCTATACCTGAGAAGACCTCTTGTGCGTCTTCCCAGTCAATACCACACACCTGACTCCACCAGAGGTAACCATTCTTATCACTTTTCTCACCATTGATTAGTTTTTGAATTTCATATGAATGGAATTATTCAGTATGACTCTTTGTGTCTGGCTTTTTTGCTAACCATAACGTGTGTGACAGCTTTCAAGGTTGTTGAGGCAGTAGTAGTTTGCTATCTTTTATGGCTACACAGGATTTCACTGGATGAATAAAGCATAATTGATTCATCTATTCTACTCTTGATATACATTTATGTAGTTTTCAGTTTGGGGCTATAATTATTATTGACCATGTCTTCTACTGAACATATGTACTGATAGTTCTTGAGTACGTACCTAAAAAGAAGTAGGAATGAAGTGTCCCAGGTAAGGCATGTTTACCATTATGAAATAACTATAAATTATTTTAAGAGTTGTGTACCAGTTTACCTTCCCATCAGCAATAAATGACTATTCCAGTTGCTTCATAACTTTACCAATATTTAGCATTGTTCTTTTTAATTTTAGCTACTCTGATATGAAGCAGTATCTCATTATGGTTAACTTGCATTACCAAACAGGCAGTGATATTGACAATGTTTTCAAATGCTTACTGTCCACTTGGATATCTTCATTTATGAGACACCTAGTGAAGTCTTTGGGTAGGAATAATTGATTTGCATGACTTCCTTATATATTCTGAATTTATGTCCTTTATCAAATATATGTATCCGAAATACCCTCTTCCACTGTGTAGCTTGACTTTTCACTCTTCATGCTGCCTTTTGATTACCATTCTTAACTTTCATGAAGAGCAATTTAGCAATCCTTTCTTTTATGAAGTGTATTTTTGTTCTTGTTTAAGAAACCTTTGCCTAACCCAACATCATGAAGAGATTTTCAAGAAACTTTATTTTACCTTTCAAAGTAAAGTCTATGATCCATCTCAAATTAATTTTGTAGTAAGGTATGATGTAGGGGACAGGGTTATTATAGAAATTATAACACATATAGTTATCAAGCTAAAGTAAATAACAGCTTTTTCCCAAACACTTAAGAAACTTGGAAAAAATTAACTCCATTTATGCAGCTTCTAACCTGTAAGATATTGTTGTCATATATTTTAAGTTTATAACATTTCATCTCAGTCATGAAGGTCCTAGTATTTTTGTTTCATATACTTAAGTATTTAGCTTTATTTATCCACATACTTAACACATCTTTTGCTCTTTAATATTTCCTACATCACAAATTTCCCATATTAGATTATTTCCGTTTAGTCTGAGGTAACCACTTAGAATTTTTTTATTTTATTATTATTATACTTTAAGTTTTAGGGTACATGTGCACAATGTGCAGGTTTGTTACATATGTATACAAGTGCCATGTTGGTGTGCTGCACCCATTAACTCGTCATTTAACATTAGGTATATCTCCAAATGCTATCCCTCCCCCCTCCCCCCTCCCCCCACCCCACAACAGGCCCCAGAGTGTGATGTTCCCCTTCCTGTGTCCATGTGTTCTCATTGTTCAATTCCCACCTATGAGTGAGAACATGTGGTGTTTGGTTTTTTGTCCTTGAGATAGCTTGCTGAGAATGATGGTTTCCAGTTTCATCCATGTCCCTACAAAGGACATGAACTCATCATTTTTTATGGCTGCATAGTATTCCATGGTGTATATGTGCCACATTTTCTTAATCCAGTCTATCATTCTTGGACATTTGGGTTGGTTCCAAGTATTTGCTATTGTGAATAGTGCCGCAATAAACGTACATGTGTATGTGTCTTTATAGCAGCACGATTTATAATCCTTTGGGTATATACCCAGAAATGGGATGGCTGGGTCAAATGGTATTTCCAGTTCTAGATCCCTGAGGAATCGACACACTGACTTCCACAGTGGTTGAACTAGTTTATAGTCCCACCAACAGTGTAAAGTGTTCCTATTTCTCCACATCCTCTCCAGCACCTGTTGTTTCCTGACTTTTTAATGATCGCCATTCTAACTGGTGTGAGATGGTATCTCATTGTGGTTTTGATTTGCATTTCTCTGATGTCCAGTGATGATGAGCATTTTTTCATGTGTTTTTTGCCTGCATAAATGTCTTCTTTTGAGAAGTGTCTGTTCATATCCTTCACCCACTTTTTGATGGGGTTGTTTTTTTCTTGTAAATTTGTTTGAGTTCATTGTAGATTCTGGATATTAGCCCTTTGTCAGATGAGTAGGTTGCGAAAATTTTCTCCCATTTTGTAGGTTTCCTCTTCACTCTGATGGTAGTTTCTTTTGCTGTGCAGAAACTCTTTAGTTTAATTAGATCCCATTTGTCAATTTTGGCTTTTGTTGCCATTGCTTTTGGTGTTTTAGACATGAAGTCTTTGCCCATGCCTATGTCCTGAATGGTATTGCCTAGGTTTTCTTCTAGGGTTTTCACAGTTTTCGGACTAACATGTAAGTCTTTAATCCATCTTGAATTAATTTTTGTATACGGTGTAAGGAAGGGATCCAGTTTCAGCTTTCTACATATGGCTAGCCAGTTTTCCCAGCACCATTTATTAAATAGGGAATCCTTTCCCCATTTCTTGTTTTTGTCAGGTTTGTCAAAGATCAGATGGTTGTAGATATGTGGCATTATTTCTGAGGGCTCTGTTCTGTTCCATTGATCTATATCTCTGTTTTGGTACCAGTACCATGCTGTTTTGGTTACTGTAGCCTTGTAGTATAGTTTGAAGTCAGGTAGTGTGATGCCTCCAGCTTTGTTCTTTTGGCTTAGGATTGACTTGGCGATGCAGGCTCTTTTTTGGTTCCATATGAACTTTAAAGTAGTTTCTTCCAATTCTGTGAAGAAAGTCACCGGTAGCTTGATGGGGATGGCATTGAATCTATAAATTACCACTGGTAGCTTGATGGGGATGGCATTGAATCTATAAATTACCTTGGGCAGTATGGCCATTTTCACGATATTGATTCTTCCTACCCATGAGCATGGAATGTTCTTCCATTTGTTTGTATCCTCTTTTATTTCATTGAGCAGTGGTTTGTAGTTCTCCTTGAAGAAGTCCTTCCATCCCTTGTAAGTTGGATTCCTAGGTATTTTACTCTCTTTGAAGCAACTGTGAATGGGAGTTCACTCATGATTTGGCTCGCTCTTTGTCTGCTGTTGGTGTATAAGAATGCTTGTGATTTTTGTACATTGATTTTGTATCCTGAGACTTTGCTGAAGTTGCTTATCAGCTTAAGGAGATTTTGGGCTGAGACAACGGGGTTTTCTAGATATACAATCATGTCATCTGCAAACAGGGACAATTTGAGTTCCTCTTTTCCTAATTGAATACCCTTTATTTCCTTCTCCTGCCTAACTGCCCTGGCCAGAACTTCCAACACTATGTTGAATAGGAGTGGTGAGAGAGGGCACCCCTGTCTTGTGCCTGTTTTCAAAGGGAATGCTTCCAGTTTTTGCCCATTCGGTATGATATTGGCTGTGGGTTTGTCATAGATAGCTCTTATTATTTTGAGATACATCCCATCAATACCTCATTTATTGAGAGTTTCTAGCATGAAGGGTTGTTGAATTTTGTCAAAGGCCTTTTCTGCATCTATTGAGATAATCATGTGGTTTTTGTCTTTGGTTCTGTGTATATGCTGGATTACGTTTATTGATTTGCATATGTTGAACCAGCCTTGCATCCCAGGGATGAAGCCCACTTGATCATGGTGGATAAGCTTTTTGATGTGCTGCTGGATTCAGTTTGCCAGTATTTTATTGAGGATTTTTGCATCAATGTTCATCAGGGATATTGGTCTAAAATTCTCTTTTTTGGTTGTGTCTCTGCCTGGCTTTGGTATCAGAATGATGCTGGCCTCATAAAATGAGTTAGGGAGGATTCCCTCTTTTTCTATTGATTGGAATAGTTTCAGAAGGAATGGTACCAGCTCCTCTTTGTACCTCTGGTAGAATTCAGTGTGATTCCATCTGGACCTGGACTTTTTTTGGTTGGTAAGCTATTGATTATTGCCTCAATTTCAGATCCTGTTATTGGTCTATTCAGAGAGTCAACTTCTTCCTGGTTTAGTCTTGGGAGGGTGTATGTGTCAAAGAATTTGTCCATTTCTTCTAGATTTTCTAGTTTATTTGCATAGAGGTGTTTGTAGTATTCTCTGATGGTAGTTTGTATTTCTGTGGGATCGGTGGTGATATCCCCTTTATCATTTTTAATTGTGTCTATTTGATTCTTCTCTCTTTTTTTCTTTATTAGTCTTGCTAGCGGTCTTTTGTTGATCCTTTCAAAAAACCAGCTCCTGGATTCATTAATTTTTTGAAGGGTTTTTTGTGTCTCTATTTCCTTCAGTTCTGCTCTGATTTTAGTTATTTCTTGCCTTCTGCTAGCTTTTGAATGTGTTTGCTCTTGCTTTTCTAGTTCTTTTAATTGTGATGTTAGGGTGTCAATTTTGGATCTTTCCTGCTTTCTCTTGTGGGCATTTAGTGCTATAAATTTCCCTCTACACACTGCTTTGAATGTGTCCCAGAGATTCTGGTATGTTGTGTCTTTGTTCTCGTTGGTTTCAAAGAACATCTTTATTTGTGCCTTCATTTCGTTATGTACCCAGTAGTCATTCAGGAGCAGGTTATTCAGTTTCCAGGTAGTTGAGCGGTTTTGAGTGAGATTCTGAATCCTGAGTTCCAATTTGATTGCACTGTGGTCTGAGAGATAGTTTGTTATAATTTCTTTTCTATTTGCTGAGAGTGCTTTACTTCCAACTACGTGGTCAGTTTTGGAATAGGTGCGGTGTGGTGCTGAGAAAAATGTATGTTCTGTTGATTTGGGGTGGAGAGTTCTGTAGATGTCTATTAGGTCTGCTTGGTGCAGAGCTGAATTCAATTGCTGGGTATCCTTGTTAACTTTCTGTCTCGTTGATCTGTCTAATGTTGACAGTGGGGTGTTAAAGTCTCCCATTGTTATTGTGTGGGAGTCTAAGTCTCTTTGTAGGTCACTAAGGACTTGCTTTATGAATCTGGGTGCTCCTGTATTGGGTGCATATATATTTAAGATAGTTAGTTCTTCTTGTTGAATTGATCCCTTTACCATTATGTAATGGCCTTCTTTGTCTCTTTTGATCTTTGTTGGTTTAAAGTTTGTTTTATCAGAGACTAGGATTGCAACCCCTGCCTTTTTTTGTTTTCCATTTGCTTGGTAGATCTTCCTCCATCTCTTTATTTTGAGCCTATGTGTGTCTCTGCACATGAGATGGGTTTCCTGAATACAGCACACTGATGGGTCTTGACTCTTTATCCAATTTGCCAGTCTTTGCCTTTTAATTGGAGCATTTAGTCCATTTACATTTAAAGTTAATATTGTTATGTGTGAATGTGGTCCTGTCATTATGATGTTAGCTGGTTATTTTGCTCATTAGTTGATGCAGTTTCTTCCTGGCCTTGACAGTCTTTACATTTTGGCATGTTTTTGCAGTGGCTGGTACCAGTTGTTCCTTTCCATGTTTAGCGCTTCCTTCAGGAGCTCTTTTAGGGCAGGCCTGGTGGTGACAAAATCTCTCAGCATTTGCTTGTCTGTAAAGGATTTTATTTCTCCTTCACTTATGAAGCTTAGTTTCGCTGGATATGAAATTCTGGGTTGAAAATTCTTTTCTTTAAGAATGTTGAATATTGGCCCCCACTCTCTTCTGGCTTATAGGGTTTCTGCCGAGAGATCCGCTGTTAGTCTGATGGGCTTCCCTTTGTGGGTAATCCGACCTTTCTCTCTGGCTGTCCTTAACATTTTTTCCTTCATTTCAACTTTGGTGAATCTGACAATTAATGTGTCTTGGAGTTGCTCTTCTCGAGGAGTATCTTTGTGGCGTTCTCTGTATTTCCTGAATCTGAATGTTGGCCTGCCTTGCTAGATTGGGGAAGTTCTCCCGGATAATATCCTGCAGAGTGTTTTCCAACTTGGTTCCATTCTCCCTGTCACTTTCAGGTACACCAATCAGACGTAGATTTGGTCTTTTCACATAGTCCCATATTTCTTGGAGGCTTTGTTCGTTTCTTTTTATTCTTTTTTCTCTAAACTTCCCTTCTCGCTTCATTTCATTCATTTCATCTTCCATCACTGATACCCTTTCTTCCAGTTGATCGCATCAGCTCCTGAGGCTTCTGCATTCTTCACATGGTTCTCGCGCCTTTGCTTTTAGCTCCATCAGCTCCTTTAAGGACTTCTCTGCATTGGTTATTCTAGGTATCCATTCGTCTAATTTTTTTGAAAGTTTTTAACTTCTTTGCCATTGGTTTGAATTTCCTCCTGTAGCTCGGAGTAGTTTGATCATCTGAAGCCTTCTTCTCTCAACTCTTCAAAGTCATTGTCCATCCAGCTTTGTTCCGTTGCTGCTGAGGAGCTGCGTTCCTTTGGAGGAGGAGAGGCGCTCTGCTTTTTAGAGTTTCCAGTTTTTCTGCTCTGTTTTTTCTGCATCTTTGTGGTTTTATCTACCTTTGGTCTTTGATGATGGTGACGTACAGATGGGTTTTTGGTGTGGATGTCCTTTCTGTTTGTTAGTTTTCCTTCTAACAGACAGGACCCTCAGCTGCAGGTCTGTTGGGAGTTTGCTAGAGGTCCACTCCAGACCCTGTTTGCCTGGGTATCAGCAGCGGTGGCTGCACAACAGCAGTGACTGTAGAACAGCGGATATTGGTGAACCGCAAATGCTGCTGCCTGATCATTCCTCTGGAAGTTTTGTCTCAGAGGAGTACCCGGTCGTGTGAGGTGTCAGTCTGCCCCTCCTGGGGGGTGCCTCCCAGTTAGGCTGCTTGGGGGTCAGGGACCCACTTGAGGAGGCAGTCTGCCCATTCTCACATCTCCAGCTGCGTGCTGGGAGAACCACTACTCTCTTCAAAGCTGTCAGACAGGGACATTTAAGTCTACAGAGGTTACTGCTGCCTTTTGTTTGGCTATGCCCTGCCCCCAGAGGTGGAGCCTACAGAGGCAGGCAGGCCTCCTTGAGCTGTAGTGGGCTCCACCCAGTTCGAGCTTCCAGGCTGCTTTGTTTACCTAATCAAGCCTGCACAATGGCAGGCGCCCCTCCCCCAGCCTCGCTGCTGCCTTGCAGTTTGATCTCAGACTGCTGTGCTAGCAATCAGCGAGACTCTGTGGGCGTAGGACCCTCCGAGCCATGTGCGGGATATAATCTCCTGGTGTGCCGTTTTTTAAGCCCGTCGGAAAAGCGCAGTATTAGTGTGGGAGTGATGCGATTTTCCAGGTGCCGTCTGTCACCCCTTTCTTTGACTAGGAAAGGGAACTCCCTGACCCCTTGCACTTCCCGAGTGAGGCAATGCCTCGCCCTGCTTCGGCTTGTGAATGGTGCGCTGCACCCACTGTCCTACACCCACTGTCTGGCACTCCCTAGTGAGATGAACCCGGTACCTCAGATGGAAATGCAGAAATCACCAGTCTTCTGCGTTGCTCACACTGGGAGCTGTAGACCGGAGCTGTTCCTATTTGGCCATCTTGGCTCCACCCGAATTTTTTAATGAGTGCTGAATGAACTGTTTTTGTCTAAAATCATTTTTATATTACCACATTCTTAAAACAGATTTTCACTGACATGCAATTCTAGATAGATATAATTTATTTTCTTTCAGCACACTGAAGGTATCATCCTAATATATCACCATTCATTGTTGAAAGAAATCATAATGGAAATTTAAAAATATCTGGAATGGTATAATAATAATTATATTACATATAAAACTTGTGGGTTGAAAGAGTTGGGGCTGGGAAAGAAATTCAATCTGTTGCAGGCATGAAGAGCAGTGGGGCTGAGGGAGAAACATACAAGGGAGTTTAAACAAGTAAATATATGGAGGATAATGGGAGCCAAGTTTCTTACTATCAGGGAAGTGAGTTACAAATAAAGAAAGAAAAAAAGGCTAGAATAACCCTGTAGTACTGGAATGGAATTGGATGTACTAGTATAAACTCAGCTCTCATTTTATAATAAAAGTAATAGATAAGGAAACAGGCCTACAGGGGAGAGGGGGGTGCGTGTAATTATGTACACACACATTGTCTGCTGAAAGGGCATAAAGGCAACAGCATCATAGTATCAATAAGCACACCAAGCATACAGATCTTAGTTTCTACATGCCACTCTCTGCTAAAAAGAACCAGCGCCCCTTGGAGAAATGGACAGCTCTAGGGTTGGTGAAAAGAAAATATAAGATATTCCTAGAGTGTCTTCCTAGCTCAGAAAGTGGGTGAATGCTCATGAAATGATGGGATCATAAGAACACACAGGAACCAGCTTAAAATGGTTCCAGTGGGCAAGTGTGGGATAATTTGAGTATCAAAATAAACAATGATAGTGATAGGTTGTGACCCTTTGAGTAAACGAAAAATCCAAGAGTCCATAATGATATAAATAAATAAATGGAGAAGGGACACTTTTAACTTACCACAGAACTCCAATGAAATGTTGAAGCAATGATGGAATTTTTTTCAATAACCAAATTAAAGCTATTTTATTAATAAATTATTCAGGCAAGTATAAACACTAGATCCTAAACTAGAGATATTTACAGTCTCAAAGAATCTCTCCCTAATATTTATTAACTTATTAATTAATATGTAAAACACACAAACCAGCAGATACCACCTTAACTAAGTGGTATGAGTTAACATTACAAGTATTGAGACAAATCAACATAATGTGCCTCCTGACAAGCATGAAAAGCACATCACTTCTGTGGCTTTCCTACATAAAAATCAAATCTGAATCAAATCATGATAAAACACCAGATAAATTCAATTTGAGGGAAATCTGCAAAGTAACTAGGTTGTACTCTTCAAAAATGTCAGTCATGAAAGAAAGAAAAAACAGAAGAAACACCCTATACTAAAAAAAAAATCATTTAAAACATGACAAACACTGAAGTAATTTATAACAGGTTTTTCATCAACATTAATATCTACAGGGACATTCAAAAGCTGTATGTGACAAGGGACAACTCTTCATTGTGTGGAACTGTCTTGTACATTATAGAAATAGTAACATACCTGACACCTATCTACTGCATTCCAGAAACAATCCCCAATTACAGTGATGACCCAAGAAAAATCACATAATTTTCCAAAATATCTCTTTGGGAGGCATTTACTACCCGTCAAGAACCACTGCCTTCCACAATCTAGTCTTCTCCCTTTCACTCTCACTCTCCAAACACACTGGCCTCCTCCCTTTCCTTTAACACTCCCTTTCCTTTCACACACTTTACCTCAGCAACTGTGTGCATGCTATTTCTGTCTGGAATGCTCTTGTCACTGTTAACTGCCTTACTTTCTCACCTTACTCAGATATTTAATTCAATACCTCTTTCTCAGGTTCTGTGTTGACCATTCTGCTTTGTCTCCCTGGCTCTTATCCCACCATCTGACATTTATTTTACTTGTTTGGTTGTTATTCATATACTCTTCCTTAATGTAAGCTCATGATGAAGAAATGTTTGTCTATTTTGTTCAGTGGTGTGTCCTCAGGCTATAGATGAGGATGGCGCATATCAGGCATTCAATATGTATTTTTGGAATGAATGAATAAATGTCCAACAGTAGGGTAGTGAATAAATTGTTATGTTCATACAATGGGATATTACATACCTGTGAAATTATGCTTTTAGAGAAGTTTTAAAGGGAAATCCTAATATATTTAAGTTAAAAAAATAAAAGGTCCAAAACCGTACACAGTGTGGCCAATATGGGTTCCCTAAGGACAAGGCATATCTAGACAAACACTATTTCGCAACTACTCAGTTAATAGACTGAAAAAAGTCAATCATAAGATGGTGAAACACAAGATGGTTGAATGACAGTATAGTGAAGTACTCAAAATAGGTGTGAGAGTAATCTTATTCAAAAGTTTTAGACCTTTTTTTTTTTTTTTTTTTTGAGACAAAGTCTCCCTCTGTCGCCTAGGCTGGAGTGCACTGGCACAATCTTCGGCTCACTACAATCTCCACCTCCCAGGTTCAAGCAATTCTCCTGCCTCAGCTTCCCGAGTAGCTAGGATTACAGGCATGCACCATGACACCCAGGTAATTTTTGTATTTTTAGTAGAGACGGGGTTTCACCACGTCGGCCAGGCTGGTCTCGAACTCCTGACCTCAAGTGATCCACCCACCTTGGCTTCCCAAAGTGCTAGGATTACAGGCATGAGCCACCGCGCCCAGCCAAAAGTTTTAGACTTTTTATCCATAGCCCTTAGTAAACATTTTTATTGCTAATTTGGATAAAAATACTTATCAAATATATAAATGGCACAAAGCTGAAAGGGATATTTTAATAAAATAAATGATCAAATTTGATTAAAAATCATTCCAATAGGCTTGAACACTGATATAAAAGCAATAAAAAGAAATACAGGAGAGTTAAAAAGTATTACATAGGGCGAGGCGTAATGGCCTGTAATCCCAGCATTTTGGGAGGCCGAGGCAGGCGGATCACTTGAGGTCAGGAGTTCAAGACCAGCCTGGCCAACATAGTGAAACCCCATCTCTACTAAAAATACAAAGATCAGCTGGATGTGGTGTCATGCGCCACTCACACAGCTGTAATCCCAGCTACCCGGGAGGCTGAGGCAGGAGAATCACTTGAACCTGGGATGTAGAAGTTGCAGTGAGCCAAGATCATGCCACTGCAGTCCAGCCTGGGCAATAAAGTGAGACTCTGTCTCAAAAATAAGAAGATTTTTAAAAAAGTATTATATAGATACAAGAAATGAGAATAGGAATCTTGGCAGCAGTTCATGGTTTTTGTTTGGTTTGTTTTGCTTTGCTTTTTTCCTACAGCTTTAAGTTTTGAAAGCAGTACATGGTTTTTTTTAATGCCCAATTATGCTGTGACCATTAAAGATCTCACAGTACATTGACAGAAAGAGAATTACTGAATATACTTCATGCTGGTCAGATCAGAAGTGAAATTGTGTTTCATCTAATTCAGGACACCTTATTTTAAGAAAAACACAGACAAACCAGAGTCTACCCAAAGGAAGGCAACTTGCTTGCTGAGGGATCTGGAAATATGAACGCAAGAAAATAATTTTTAAAAATAGGGAAACACAGATCACTGAGAAAACTATGTAATTTTAAACAAATGATGCTAGGATAGTGCTCACTTTGGCAGCATATATACAAATGGTGCTAAGACAACCAATTGCCCATTTTATTATTCTTATTATTTTGTCAATTTTGTTTTTCACAAGCATATACGTAAAACCTAAAATCCAATCTAATTTGTACTTTTCAAACTTTTCCAAAATTGAGATAATCCAAATAAACTATATCACTGGAGAATAGTTTTCTAAGAAACTTTGTATGAATCAGGCCATGAAATCCTTGCATGATAGCTATATCAATTCTTTCAGGATTAATAATAGTAATAATAGCTGCCAGTTACTGAGTACTAACTAGACATCACACGTTCTACTAAGCATTTTATAGGCATTATCTCACATAATCCACACCAAAACCCTCTACGATAGGCATTATTATACCCTATTACTATGCAAAATAGCAGACAAAATGCCTTATCCACAGGAGAAAGAATAAATTATCATGTAATCACACACTGGAATACTGTACAGTAATAAGGAACAAATGAAAACTCTGCACATCTACATAGAAGCAGCTCAAAACCCTAACACTGTGTGAAACACCTAGTTCTCAAAAGAATATGTATCATATTGATTCCATCTTAGAGTTCAAAACCATACTGAAGAGAAGGAAAATCATTATATATCAAAATAAGAAATAAAAAAGATATGACTGGGAAAGGAGAAACAAAGAACTTCAACAGTATTTGGTAATGTTCTATTTCTCAAGCTCGATAGTAAATATATGGGAATTATTTTTACTTGCTGCTATTCTTTACATAAATGATTCATATATGCTCTTTTCTACATATGAAATAGTTAATAGAAGGAAAATATGTACTATTAAAATGAAAGCCATTTATACATAAGCTATTATAGCTGTGTACTCAAGTATTTAAAATAAACATTTGAAAATAGCTGGATTTCAAGATACCACTTTCAAGAGAAAATAAGGGTGACATTTAGTCTTCTCTGTTCTTAAAAAAAAAATTGATAAAACAAGCAAATCAGTTCTTATTTTTCTAAGAAGATAAATTTTTCAAAATATGAATTTGGAATCAATAAAAACAACATATCTAGACTGTAAGAATCTAATACTTATATCTTAACTTTTGAAAAATTAAGATGCCTGCCTAGGCACAGTGGCTCATGCCTGTAATCCCAGCATTTTGGGAGGCCAAGGCAAGAGGATCGCTTGAATCCAAGCGTTCAAGACCAGCCTGGGCAACGTAGAGACCCTGTCTCTGCCAAAAATTTAAAAATTAGCCGAGCAGGGCGGTACACACATGTGGTCCCAGCTACCTGAGAGGCTGAGGTGGGAGGATTCCTTGAGTCTAAGAGTTCAGGGCTGCAGTGACCTGTGATTGCACTGCTGCACTTCAGCCTGGGCAACAGAGCAAGACTGTCTCAAAAACAAAACCAAAAAAGGCTTTAGCCAAATATTATCAGCAACTCAACTGATGCCCAAGTAAGAGATCCTAATTCCATCACCCATTCTTTCATATTTACTTTCTTCATTTCCAGATTTCTTTTATACCTTGGACAAGTCAGTTGTTCTTCCATGACCAAATAACTCTGCCTTGATCTCTTCTACTTTCCTCCTGTCATCTTCATTTAATTCTGAAATGGAGTATCCACAATCATGTGCTAAATTGAACTTCATATTCCAGGCTGGAGAGAAAGCATACACTTGAGATAATACAATGCAAAAGTGATAATTTGTCAACAATTGCAACACAGAAGATCATCAATATATGCAATTTAATACCCACTGCAATGCTTAGTATGTCTTCTTCTCAATTATGACAACCTATTAGAAATTCTTGACAGAGATCCTTTCACTGCAAAGTCTGATTTTCTTAAGTCATGCTCTATAGATAATTCTACAAAAAAGCCACTTTAAATCGGGTAATCAATCATATTTATCTTAATCCTCCTTTTAATCATGAGTTTCTTTACCTCTCCCTTTAGTTCCTGCTACAATTACTCATAATTCCATGACAGCTGATATTTAAAAGTAATAAATACAACTTGGAGGTTTTTTTGTAGAATAAAAATGTGCAGGGAACAGCGTAGGAAGTTAACCTCAAGGGACGATTTCTAGGTAGGCCTAAATTGCTTTTAAATTGCCTCCCAAAATATATTCCCCATATTGTCTTACAGATTTTTGTTTTTAATGGAATTCTATTAGAAATTAATGAGATTTGTAAATATTCTCTTTTAAACCTCTAACCCAAGTTTTAGTATAAAATACATTGATTTTTTTTTCAAATGTCTGAGATCAACACCAAGAGTTCTATTAGAAAAGGGAAAGAGAAAATATATGTAGTTTTAGGACAAAAAGCAATTTAGAGCACAGCAAATTGGAGGCTCTTTCTGCCTTCAGAATAAGGATACTATAATGGGAGGATTAGAGAAACGTGATAGCTTTAGGAGCTCAGGAGCCCAAGCGACCTCTTTACTCTCTGTCATACATCAGAATCTACTTCTCCTAAGAACAAGAACGTAAACTCAGGCTGGTACTATTAATACTGTAACTTAACTACATTATTGGTTAAATAGGCTTTTTATGGATTGTTAGAAGAAATATAGTCATTCTAACAATTCTATTGGAAAATACATTTAGAACTCCAAATATCTAACTTCATTTTTTTTCTTGATCTTGCTTGTATTTTTCATTGGCTAAGCTTCCTCAAAACATAAATATCTAACTTTAAACACATTATTAAACTATAACGTTTATAAGCCTGAAACTTTCTTCTTACCATGTGCTCGTACCCGGCTTTCCTCTTCCTCTGCATTTCTGAGTATTTCTTTAGCATGATTCAGTGAGGATTCACATTGCAGAAGGTTTTTCACATGTGCAGCCAGTGAATCTACACTGCTACCACCACCATCCTCACTCTCTGACACACCCTCTTCCTCCCTGCTATCTGTTATACTTGTCTTGGGTGAAACATATGGAAAGAAGTTTAGAAGAACATCAGAAACTGATTCCAAAGACTCTGGTAAATTACTGTCCCACGAGCAGGAACCATTTCCATCACTGGCATCACTACTTGAATCACTTTTTATGACAGTCATCATAGGGATAATAATTTTATTCCCAATGGTTCCACTACACCCTTCAGGTTCAGACCTCATTACAGATTTGGCTGCTTGATATTGCCTAAGAGTTTCTTCTAATGCCATACTGACTTTGCTCTCTGCTTCCTGTAGAGGACTTCTAACTGTAGTTGAACTAATAAACTCCCAATTTTCAATGCCTCTCCGGCATTTCAAATTCGTCTGTGTGCCAATATCCTTCTGTATGCACCTGCTGCTTGGGCTTTCCTCTGTGAATGGCTGTCTGTGAAGCAAATCACCATTAGATACACCCGTGGAAGAGGGTTCTTTGAAGCAAACCACCTTCTTAGATTGTATAAATGAAATATCACTAATATCTCTGAAACGGGCAAGGGGAGCAGGAAAATTGCATCGTTTCAGTGCCATATTTTCTGCCTCCATCAAAAGTGTCCGAATTTCCTTAAGAGTTTTAGCACTATTTTCTGCATCCTGGATTTCTTCAGAGCCAACATCTCTAAAACCTGCAGATTCTGGTTTATTTATTACAACTCTGTCATCAGCCTGAGAATTTAAAAGCACATTATTTGAGCTAACACTGGAGTCAGAAGAATTCAAATTATCTATTAGCCTTTGGACATGTTCTGAAACAAGCTTGTGATTCTCACCATGTGAGTAAGTACCAGAGGGAACTGTTTGTAATCCGGTAATTTGATCAGCTTGCCCAAGAGCACTTGAGATCTTTAGAGCATCTTCAGTTAGATGTCTATCTGGCAAATCCTTTTGATAGAAAATATCTGGTTTCTCTCGATGTGAAAAGGAACTAGGAAGAGCTGTTGGTAATACTGTTTTCTGGCCAGCTGGTCCAGGAATTGTTGAAACCTTCAGCACATCTTCAGTTACATGACTACCTGGCAATTCCTGTGGACTGAAAATATTCGATTTCTCTCTGTGAAAATAAGAACTAGAGAGAGATACTGGTTTTCCAGTATTCACATCAGTTAGTTCAGGGACAGCTGAAATCTTTAGAATACCTTTACTTTGATCTCTATCTGGCAACTGCTGTTGAAATAAAATATTGGGCTTTACTGTTTGAGAATAGGAACTATGAAAAGCTGTCTGGGATGGAGTCTTCTGGTCATTTGGTCCAATCACAGTTGAAATCTTGGGCTTCTCTATTTGTGAGTAGGAACTAAGGGTAGCTGCTGGAAACTCAGTTTTCTGGTCATCTGGTATATGCACAGTTGAAATCTTGAGTTTCTCTTTATGTGAATGTGAGTAGGAACTAGACAGTCCTATTGGTATCCCAGTCTTCTGCTCTGCTGGTATAGAAACAGGTGAAACTTTCAGAGCCTCTTCTGTGAGATGACTGTCTGGCAACTCCTGTTGAGAGATAACACTGGGCTTCTCTCTACGTGAGTAGTAACTTAAAGGTACTGTTGGTATCTCAGTCTTCCGGTCACCTTGTCCAGGAACAACAAAAACATTTAAAGCTTCTTCAGTAACATCTGGCAACTCCTGCTGATGAAAAATACTGGCCTTCTCTCTATTTGAGTAGGAACTAGAGGATGCTATTTGTATCCCAGTCTTCTGGTCAGCAGGCCCAGGAACCCCTATTGCTTTCAAAGTTACTTCAGTAAGATCTGGCAACTCCTGCTCATAAGAAATGACAGAGTGCTCTCTCTGTGGGTAGGAATTAGAGGGCAGGATGTTTATTCCAGTCTTCTGGTCAGCTGGTCCAGGAACTCTTAAAATTTTCAAACCTGCTTCAGTAAAATGCGGCAACTCTCGCTGGTAGGAAACAATGGGCTTCTCTCTGTGTGAGTAGGAAGTAGAGGTTACTGTTGATACCCCAGTCTTCTGGTCAGCTGGTCCAGGAACATTTGAAACTTTCAGAGCCTCTTCAGTTAGATGACTATCTGGCAACTCTTGCTGGTAAGAAATATTAGGCTTCTCTGTATGTGAATAGAAAGAGGAAGTTACAGTAGATAACCCAGTCTTCTGGTCAGCTGGTTGAGGAACAGCTGAAACTTTCAGAGCTTCTTGAGTTAGCTCACTGTCTGGCAGGGCCTGTTGGTAGAAGACAATGGGCTTCTCTCTATATGAGTATAAACTAGAGGATACTGATGGTGTCTCAGTCTTCTGGGCATCTGGTCCAGGAACAGGTGGAACTTTCAGAGCTTCTTCAGGTAAATGACTGTCTGATAGGGTCTGCTGGTAGAAAATGACAGGCTTCCCCCTATTTGAGTAGCTAGTAGAATGTACTGGTAATGTCTCAGTCTTCTGGTCAGCTGGTCCAGGAGCAGCTGAAACTTTCACAACCTCTTTATTTAGAGGACTGTCTAGCAGAGCCTGCCGGTAGAAAGTAATGGGCTTCTCTCCAAGTGCACTGGAACCTAAAGGTCCTGCTGGTATGTCAGTCTTTTTTTCAGTAGGTCCAGAAACAATGGAAACTTTCAGAGCCTCTTCAGGTAGATGACCATCTGGAAAGGCCTGTTTGTAGTTAACAATCGGCTTCTCTCCAAATGAGTAGGAAGTAGAGGTTATGGTTGGTATGCCAGTTGTCTGGTCAGCTGGTCCAGGAGCAGAAGAAACTCTGAGAGCCTCTTCAGGTATTTGACTACCTAGCAATGCCAGTTGGTAGAAACTGCCAGACTTTGCTCTATGTTGTGAGTAGGAAGGAGAGGTTATAGTTGGTGCGCCAGTTGTCTGGCCAACTGGTCCAGGAGCAACTGAAACTTTCAGAGACTCTTCAGGTAGATGACCCTCTGGAAAGGCCTGTTTGTAGATAACAATGGGCTTCTCTCCAAATGAGCTGGAAGGGGAGGTTACAGTTGGTGTGCCAATCGTCTGGTCAACTGGTCCAGGAGCAACTGAAACTTCCAAAGCCTCTTCAGGTAGATGACTATGTGGCAAGACCTGTTGGTAGAAACTACCAGGCTTCTCTGTGTGTGAGTAGAAAGTAGAGGGTAAAGTTGGTATCCCAGTCTTCCGGTCACCTGGTCCAGGAACCGCTGAAACGTTCTTAGCCTCTTCAGTTAGATGACTACCTGGCAACGACTGTTGGTAGAAAATACTCGGCTTCTCTGTATGTTGTGAGTAAGAAGTAGAGGTTACAGTTGGTGTGCCAGTTGTCTGGTCAACTGGTTCAGAGGCAACTGAAATTTTCAGAGCCTCTTCAGTTGGATGACTATGTGGCAAGACCTGTTGGTAGAAAACACCAGGCTTCTCTGTGTGTGAGTAGAAAGTAGAGGGTAAAATTGGTATCACAGTCTTCTGGTCAGCTGGTCCAGGAACCGCTGAAACATTCTTAGCCTCTTCAGTTAGATGACTACTTGGCAACGACTGTTGGTAGAAAATGCTGGGCTTCTCTCTATATTGTGAGTAGGAAGTAGAGGTTACAGCTGGTGTGCCAGTTGTCTGGTCAACTGGTTCAGAGGCAACTGAAATTTTCAGAGCCTCTTCAGTTGGATGATTATCTGGCAAGACCTGTTGGTAGAAAATACCAGGCTTCTCTGTGTGTGAGTAAGAAGCAGAGGTTGGAGTTGGTGTCCCAGTCTTCTGGTCAGCTGGTCCAAGAACAGGTGAAACTTTCTGTGCCTCTTCAGGTATGTGACTACCTGGCAAGGTCTGTTGATAGAAAATACCAGGTTTCTCTCTTTGTGAGTAGAAGGTAGAAAGTACTCTTGGTATCCAAGTCTTCTGGTTACCTGGTCCAGTAACAGCTGAAACTTTCTGAGCCTCTTCAGGTATATGAGTACCTGGCAAGGCCTGCTGGTGGAAAATGCTGGGCTTTTCTCTATGTTGTGAGTAGGAAGTTGAGGTTACAGTTGGTGTGCCAGTCTTCTGGTCTGCTAGTCCAGGAGCTACTGAAATTTTCAGAGCCTCTTTAGGCAGATGACTCTCTGGCAAGGTCTGTTGGTAGAAAATACCAGGCTTCTCTCTTTGTGAGTAGAAAGTAGACGGTACTGCTGGTGTGTCAGTCATCTGGTCAGCTGGTCCAGGGAAGGCTGAAACTTTCAGACTCTCTTCAGGTAGATGACTGTCTGATAACACCTGTGGGTACAAAACACTAGGCTTCTCCCTCTGTGGGTAAGAACTAGACTGTACTGCTGGTATCTCAGTCTTCTGGTCAGCTGGTCCAGGGCCAGTTGAAACTTTCAGAGCCTTTTCAGTTGCATAACTATCTGGCCACTCCTGTTGATAGAAAATACTGGGCTTCTCTCTATGTGAGAAGGAACCTGAAGGTACTGTTGGTGTTGGGACAGTCTTCTGGTCAGTCAGTCCAGGAATAGCAGACATTTTCAGAGATTCTCTAGGTAGATCACTGTCTGGCAACTCTTGCTGGTAGAAAACACTAGATTTCTCGCTATGTGAGTGAGAATTAGAGGACACTGTTGGTGTCCCAGTCTTCTGGGCAGCCAATACAGAAACAGCTGAAACCTTCAGAGCTTCTTCAGGGAAAAGAAAGTCTGGCAGGGTCTGCTGGGAAAAAATAATGGGCTTCTCTCTGTGTGAGTAGAAACTAGATGGTGCTGAGGGTATCCCAGTCTTCTGATCACCTGGTCCAGGAACAATTGATACTTTCAGAGCCTCTTCAGTTAGATGACTATTGGGTAAGGTCTGCTGATAGAAAGCACTGGGCTTTTCTCCAAGTGAAGAGGACGCAGAGGAAGTAGAGGTTACAGCTGGTGTCCCAGTCTTTCCGTCAGCTGGTCCAGAAACAGCTGAAACTTTCAGAGCCTCTTCGGGTAGATGGCTGTCCAGCAAGGCCTGTTGGTAGAAAACAAGGAGCTTCTCTCTGTGTGAGTATGCACTAGAGGGTACTGTTGGTAGGCCAGTCTTCTGGTCAGCTGGTCCAGCAACAGCTGAAACTTTCAGACCCTCTTCAGGTAGATGACTGTCTGCTAAGTCCTGTGGGTACAAAATACTAGGCTTTTCTCTTTGTGAGTAAGAACTAGACTGTACTGCTGGTATCTCAGTCTTCTGGTCAGCTGGTCCAGGAGTGGCTGAAACTTTAGTAAGAGTCTCTTCAGTTTGATGACTGTCTGCGAACTCTTGTTGGTAAAAAATACCAGGCTTCTCTCTATGTGAGTGGGGAGTAGAGAGTACTGTTGCTGTCCCAGTCTTCTGGTCAGCTGGTCCAGACACAGCTGAGACTTTCAGAGCCTGATCAGTTAGATGACCATCTGGCAAGGTCTGTCGATAGAAAAAGAGGAGGTCCTCTACATGTGAGTGGGATGTAGAGGATACTGTAGGTATTCCCGTCTTCTGCTCCACTGGGCCAGGAGCAGCTGAAACTTCCAAAGGCTCTTCGGTTAAGTTACTCTCTGGTAACTCTTGTTGGTAAAAAGTACCAGGCTTCTCTCTATGTGAGTAGGAAGTAGAGGTTAGAGTTGACATGCCAGTTGTCTGGTCAGCTAGTCCAGGAGCAGCTGAAACTTTCAAAGCCTCTTCAGTTAGATGACTGTCTGGCAAGCCCTGCTGGTAGAAAATGCTGGGCTTCCCCCTATGTGAGTGGGAACTAGAGAGTACTGTTGGTGTTGCAGTCTTCTGGTCAGCTGGTTCAGGAATAGCTGTGACTTTCAGAGTCTCTTCAGTTAGATGAGTATCTGCTAATGTCTTTTGGTTGAGAGTATCAGTGTGTTGACCAGTAGTAGTTTCTAGAGGAGAACTTACAGCCAACTGAGACAGGTCCTCAAGGGACAAGGATAAATGAGATCCAATGTCTGAATCAACAGGAGTGGTAGTGATGCCTGACTTCAAGTTGGATTGAGTAACTTTAGCTATGCCTCCTTTAGAAGTGTCTCCTAAAGAAAAAGAGATTTGTTAATAGTATATAAAATTTTCTATTTTAAAATTCTATGTGCTGGAAAAAAGCCAGCTTTGAGCCTTTAAAAAGCTTCTAGAAATGAATCCTAAGGAAACAGCCATCAAAGGAGATAAATATTTGCACACAAAGATATTAATTAGAAAACTAAAGTAAAAACATTTTAATCTTCAACAACAGAGTAATGGTTATAAACAACAGTATATCCAGTGGATGAAATATTATATGGATCTTACAACTTGGATTTTTAAGAGAATTTTCAATGAGATGGGATAATGCTATTGGGTCTAGGATTTGATTTCACCCTACTTACAATCTGTTATTGTGTCTTGCAGGCTGGCAGAAGACATAAGGTCTTCAGTCAGAGACAAAAGACTTCATGATCCCTGGTACAGCAAAGGCTCATCAGCTTATTTTCACGGGTTCCTCCTGCCCCCAAGTCCCACAGGGGCAGTACAATATGGCCTAGAGGGATGCTATGCGTGCAGTGAGTTTGAAGGACTCTCCCAACAAATGCACCCTGTATAATATATATATATTTAAGTACATAAAACTGAAAAAACTCTAAAGGTTACTCTGAAGAGTTTTAACTTAATTCTGTATAGCATGGCAAGTTGTTTACAGTTTTAAAGTTTTCAAGATGAGTGAGAAGGGAATGTAAAAATCTAGGTTGCACAATCCAACAAACATTTCTATAGAAATGTTCTATATTTGCACTAATACAATAATTCTAAATGAAAGCAGTTTTAAACAGCAGTGTAAAGTAAGTGACTGCAACAGAAATGACAGGATTTGACAAGCTGTCCCTTCATTCATTGTTCATTCAAAATACATGAATGCTTACTATGTTCCAGGCACTGTTCTACATACAGCAATAAACAGACAATAATCCCTACCTCACAGAGCTAATTTGTATTCTAGCAGGAGGAGGCTGACAATAAATTGGTAAAACATATGATGTGTCAGATGGTGTTAAGATGATTGATATATAGAGCAAGTATTATCTATTTTTTACGTATAGGGAAACCGAGTTGCAAAGATGACCATGTAACAGTGCTTCTCAATGTTGGGATCTTGTTAACTTGCAGATTCTGACTCAGTAGGTCTGGGTGGGACCTGAAATTCTGCATTTCTAACAAGCTCCCCAGGGATGCCCAATGTTATTGGTCCTCAGACCACATTTTAAGTGCAAAGATACATAGTTTTTCTAGAATTGTAGGTGGGTAAGTGACAAAAACTGGTACTTTAACCCTTAAACTCTAAATCCAAGTTCTGAGCTCTTTCCACTACAACTGACTGGCTTTCTATGGCCACTGACGAGCTTCAAAGGAGCTGAATATAGAATGAAATGGGTTGAGGAGTGAATTTCAAAGTAAAGAACTAGAAGTATCAAGTATTAACTCTTCAAGAAAAGTAAAAAATTTAAAAATGTAACATGCATTGTAACCTGAGAAGGAATATGAGTTACAAAATTTTGTGAGGTTCTTGCCTGCTGGGTCTAAAGAAAATAAGAAAAGTTTTTGTGAGGAAACAAAACAGGCTCAAGAAGCTAATAAACCAAAACAGATTAACAAAACAAAACCTTGTTTTTCTAAATGATTTCCTGATTTCTCAAAGTTTTTATATCCCTTTGGCCATTACAAATTATTAGTGACACCATGAATGGGGACAAATGAGATAAATAGCTAAGGAGTTAAGATGTACAGCCCAGGTCCTTGAAAGATCCAGGTTACATAAGATAAGGTCTTTTTAACCTCAGGGGTAAAGGAAAAGATTAGTAAAGAAAACTGGAAGAACGACTATAGGTTAAGCTGTTAAAAGCGAGGGAGGAGATGCACGATGTTAAAGAAGAATTCTTGTCAGTTCTATATAAAGTTAAGGACATATATGTCAAACTGTCAGAAGAATGGTGATCACAAATCCATTAACTATGATTTATAAAATGTGTCTATGTACATAAGGAGTTCATGATGAAAAATGGTATGTTTTTAGAGTCCTTATTATTCTCTCAGCCCTGGGAAAGAAGAATACACTAAGTGTGAGTGTTAACAATATTACTACATACTGATATAATCTTTGGAGATTCATTTTCAGAACTAGGGGTGAGTTGAAGAGGTAAGTTTCGACCAAGAAGAGGAAGATGGCTGCCAGAAAAGACTATACTACACCAAAGTTGTATATTGGGTGGGAACTGTATGCCTCTTAGAGATGACATTAAGACTAACAACCTGGGTACAATTTACTCAAGAACTCTTCTCCATACTAAGGTGCTTAGTAACACAGAAGGCTTCCTAGGTGACGAAGACAGCACGGTTTTATTTCCCCAAGTATATTCTGACATAAGAAGAATAAGCAAGCCCTTTATTTCTCACAGACAAAATGAGGTACAATTCCATACTTCCATTTTACATATGACTAAGAGCCTCTTACTAGTAATCGTTCCAAGTCAATTATTATGGGTTTTAATACTAGCACACACAAATAAATTACTATAGCTCTCATTTTGAGCCCTCTAATTCAGTCACTAATAAGTCTGTAACGGGGCTGGGAAGGTAGTGAGGAGGATGGTTAATGGGTACAAAAATGTAGTTAGAATGAATAAGCTCTAGAATATGATATAGTACAATACGGTGACTACAGTCAACAATTATTTATAACGCATTTTAAATTAAAAGAGTATAACTGGAATTTTCACAACATAAAGAAATAATGAATGCTTGAGGTGACAGATACTCCATTTACCTTGATGTGATTATTACACATCGTATGTTTGTGTCAAAATATCTCATGTACCCCATAAATATATACACCTACTATGTTCTCATAAATATTAAAAATAAAAAAGATTTTTTTTTAAAAAGTCTGGCAAAAGCACCTATTGTGTGTACAGAGAAGTAAACTCAAATTCATGTTTTTTTAAAAAGACACCAGTGATATTTTAAATGGGTCTTTGTCTTCATTGTTGTTATTCTTGCTTTCTAATTAATTACTATATCATTTTTATAAGTTCCTAATTATTAATTATTGATAACTAAATAATTATAATTGTGTTGTATTTCGTTAATCCCTCAGTTAACTCATAGATGTTTATCTCTACATTCATTATCTTAAACTATATTCTCTCATAACTAAACTTAACACAATATATCACAGTTCAAACAGGATTTTTGATACCCTTATTACCACAGTGGACGTAAATATAACCCTTCCAAAGTTCCTGCATACTGATAATTCATTAACGTTGTCCTGTTGATAAATGTATGCCATTTAAATAACTTGCAATACAAAATCAAGTTAAATGTAATAAAATTGCTTAGTTTCAAAAGATAATAGGGCACTGTTTTATAACACAAAAATCACATACACGAGCTAACATTATAGCCTGTAATTTAATTCCTAATTTTGTTGTTGCTATCACTAAGTTCTTTTTCAATGCGAAAGCAGGAATTGTTAGGTAAAGTGCGTTATAGACTCTTCCTCATTCCTAAGTGGGCAGAGGTTTCAAAAAGCTAATGAACTGCTGGTGTTGTGAAAAGTTCATGAACTCTGTACTCAAACATCAAATCCCAAACACTATTTCCTAACAGAATAACCCTGGGAAAGTTATAACCTGGTCATAGTAATACCCAGTCATCAAACCACCCTGATAGGTGCACCCCTACTCAAAGAAATTCCCTCTGGGACAGGAGAAGATGTAATTTCAGATCTTGCTTCCAGGCTCCTCATCTTTAAGAGAACCCTTCAAAGTCCTGCCCCAAACTAAAGTCCTCCCTTACTCTGAGCCACACGCAGGTTCCCTCCCTGCCCTGAGTAACTTGCATCTTCAAGGGAGAAGATATCCAACAAATAACAACCTAAGGTAGTAAGGTTAAACAAAAGACTGGGCGTCAATAAAAATTATGGCAGGAAAACTAAAAGATAAATCAATTAGGTTTAGAGGCAGGGAACATAAACCCCAATACCCACCAAAAAACATAAAGAAAGACATATAGGCCATTCAAGTCACAGAGACAGCCTCATGTTAACCAGAGATCAATAAAATAGTGATAAGACACTAATCCATAGGCCTTCATTACAACTGACATATAGTCAATGAAATATGATACTTACATTTATTTGATCCACTTTCTTGAGAACTGATCCCTGCCAAAATACAAAGCCTACCATCTTATTCTACCCCTCCCCCAGTCTACCCAGGCATGTTAATTCATTTAATATTCATCAATTCATAAAGTCATTCAACAGATATTTATTGAGTAGCTTTCACAGCCAGGTGCAAAAATATATATATTAGCAAAGCCCGAGCTCTACCCTCAAAGAGCTTAAAGTCCTGTGGGAGACAGAAACAAGTAAAAAAAAGCAATTACTAAATTCAGTGTAAGGGCAGTGATTAGGGAGGCTGTTTACAGGATACTATAGCAACATATGTAAGGAGTATCTGGCTCTTTCTTAAAGAGTCATGGTGAACAGTGAAAAACAGAAACATTTTCCTGAAAGACAGCAAAGCTCAGAATGAAAGGATAAAAACCAGAAATTAGGCAAAGATGGGCATATAAAAAATAGGGAAGCATTCCAAGTAGAGAAAATAGCATCTATGAGATCAAGGAGACAAGAGGGTCTAGCATCATGAAGAAATGAGAGTAGTTCACTATGAAAAAAGAGGCAAGTATAAGGCTAAGAAGGTAAGCAGGGACCTTCTACTATGTACTAAGGAGTTTAGAATTTACCCCAAGGTTAACAATGGAAAGCAAGAACTCCAAACTAGGAAGTGACATTATCAAGTCTGCCCTGTAAACAGACTATTTTGGCTTAATACTGAAAATAAGTGGCAGAGAAGATGATCAGTTTTCCATTACTAATGCAGTAATTCAGAAAAGAGAATGGGAGTCTGATAGAATCAACGAGATTAAGTGATTGGGCAGGGATGAGGGTGAAAGAAGAATACAAGTTTCTAGCTTGGCTAATAAGTAGACACTCATTCACTGAGAAGAAATAGAGAAGGAAGAGTAGGTTTAAAGAGATGATTGGCTCCATTTTTAAAGTTCTGACATTAAGATACCTATGGGACATCCAAATGAAGACATTTCATAGTAGTCAGATACAAACATTTGGAGTATGAGATATATCTAGATAGAGTCCTACAATTGGAACTCATCAGTCATAGGAAATAACTGAAGCCCTGGGTGTTGATATTACCTAGGAAGAAGTTAAAATCCTTTCTTGCACAAAGCATTGTTTCCTACTATGTCACTACCTGATGCTGTAAACAAGCTGAGGCAGCCAGTACTGTACCACTAACTGATGAACTCTTCAGTTAGCAAACAATCATCGAGACTCTTTCATGCCTTTATCATATGCCAAGATTAGTGTTAAGTATATAATAGAAATTAAATTGGTGCCCTCTCTGAGAAAGAATTTGGAAAAACTGATGGTGTGATATGTTTATGGTAAGGTTATAAAGGCATTTAAAACTTGAGAAACAGAGAGAACAATATGGAATGAAGCTATCAAAATCCTCTTAGAGAAAGTGGGACTTTGGGCAAGTCACTCTAAGTTTCATTTTGCTCAGATAGCAAATAGAATAATAGCAGTGCCCATCATCATAGGTCAGATTAAAAATATAAAACAATATGGCATAATAATAATATGATAAAAGAACATATTGTGCATACCTAATCCAAAAATCTGAAATCCAAAATGCTCTAATGAGTATTTCCTTTGAATATCATGTCAGCAGTCAAAAAGTTCCAGATTTTGGACCATTCTGGATTGTGGTTTTTCAGATTAGGGATGCTCAACCTGTATTATATAATATACATTATAATAATAATACATAAAATGCTTAGCAATGTGAACAAGCAATAAATGTCAGCTATTATTAATAGTTCAGGACACGGGCTGCAGATTTTAGAAAAGTTAGGAAAGTTTCATGGCATAGGTGTCCCCATCTTCTGTGGCTTGAGATCCCTGAGTTTATTCAATATTGCCTGAGAAAGATCTTTACCTCACTTCCCCCATATGATTATTTCTACCAACAACCAAAGACAATAGCACATCTAAGTCAAGTTTTCAAAACTCCAGTTGTCTTCTGGTCCCTGACAAAATGATATAAATTTGCTTTTCCCTCCACTTCCCTAGAAACCAAAAGACAAAAAAAAAACTGAAAGGTAGAAAGTGAAACGCAGACTAGCTAAGGACCTCCAGACTGGAGAACAACATGGCAATGACTTCCTTAGTTTTCTTTTTAACTCTCTTATATCTGAGGCTGGACCCTGGAGAGGCCTGCAGTGTGGAACTAAGACCAGAAATAGGAATAGGAATAGGAATAGTGGGAAGGAGAAAGGGAACAAAGGAGGGCAGAAAGAAGTCCAAGAAAAGCCTGCTGTCTGTGGGCCATGGACCAAGAAACGGGCAGCCCAGCAGACTTAGCAGACAGTCCCATCTCCCCACACCCTACTCCAACCCAGCAGCAACAGGTAGGCTTGCACCACCAGAACTGTAGTGCCAGCAAAAACCAGGCAGAGAGTCCCAACAGGTTTGGCATCTCCCTGTCCTCTAGCCAGTAACAAAAGAAGACCTAGGTCCACCATCTCCTAACTCTCCTGTGGTAAAAGACAGCTCAGGTAGGCACTTTCCTTCCCCAGTGGCACTGGCAAAAATTGAATGGGAAGTCCACCAGCATTGAGAAACCCAGAGAGTAGGTTCAAGGAAATGTTCTCCATCGCAGGGGCCCAGCATCCTACCTAGATGCATCAGGAGGCCTAGAAAAGCATTTTCTACCCCCATGAATGCCATCAACAAGAATCAAGTGGGTGACCCACTGACACCAGTTGGTCCAGGGGCAGGCCCAGGGAAATGTTCTCTACTCTGTGGGTTAGCATCTCCCCCTTCCCACACAGCACCAGCAGGCCTTGAGGAAGACCATTCCACCCACATAAGCATCACCAACAGGGACTGAGTGGGAGCCTCAATGGTACCACTGAAGTAGACCAGAATGCAACTCCCCTGAAAACTAAATTATCTTTGGGATCACAGCCACATAAATAGGCCAGAGCCTATATGGAAAACCTAAATAGAGCAACTGCCTGCTAAACAGAAGATTATAAATAGGAATCAAAGTCTCCTAACATAATATCCAAAATGTCCAGGATATAATCAAAATTCATTTTTACCACTAAGAACCAGGAAAATCACAAACTGAGAAAAGACAATCAAGGCTGGCTGTGGTTGCTCACGCCTATAATCCCAGCACTTTGGGAGGCTGAGGTGGGTGGATCACTTAAGGTCAGGAGTTCAAGACCAGCCTGGCCAACATGATGAAACCCCGTCTCTACTAAAAATACAAAAAATTAGCTGGGCGTGGTAGCACACGCCCATGATTCCAGCTACTCAGGAGGCTGAGACACGAGAATTGCCTGAACCCCGGAAGCAGAGGTTTCAGTGAGCCGAGAGAGAGAAAGAGACAGCAAGAGAGAGAGAGAGAGAAAGACAGCGAACGCGAGAGAGAGGGAGAAGACGATCAAATGATGCAAATAAGATGAGTCAAATTCAAAGAAACAAAGTCTGAAAACATCCCAAATTTGATGAGACATAAACTTACAGATTAAAGAAAGTAAGTCAGCTCCAAACAGGAAAACCCAAAGAAATCCACACCAAGGGCCGGGTGCATTGGCTCACGCCTGTAATACGAGCACTTTGGGAGACTGAGGCAGGTGGATCACTTGAGGTCAGGAGTTCGAAGCCAGCCTGGCCAACATGGTGAAACCCCGTCTTTACTAAAAATATAAAACAATTAGCCAGGCGTGATGGCACACACCTGTAATCCCAGCTACTTAGGAGGCTGAGGCAGGAGAATGGCGTGAACCCGGGAGGCGGAGCTTGCAGTGAGCCGAGATAGCACCACTGCACTCCAGCCTGGGCGACAGAGCGAGACTCTGTCTCAAAAATAAATAAATAATTTTTAAAAATTAAAGTGAAATTCTAAAGTATGTTCATGAAACCCATAGTAAGGCAAGACAAGAGAAACAGGAATAAAGTGAAAATAAATAATAAAATTGCAGACTTAAGGCATAATAGACCAATATTAACTTTAGGTATAAATTGTATAAATAAACAAACTACACCTGTAATCCCAGCACTTTGGGAGGCCAAGGCGGGTGGATCACAAGGTCAAGAGATGCAGACCATCCTGGCCAACATGGTGACACCCTGTCTCCACTAAAAATACAAAAATTAGCCTGGTATGGTGGTGTGCACCTATAGTCCCAGCTACTCAGGAGGCTGAGGCAGGAGAATCGCTTGAACCTGGGAGGTGGAGGTTGCAGTGAGCCGAGATCACACCACCGTACTCCAGCCTGGTGACAGAGCAAGACTCCATCTCAAAATAAATAAACAAACAAACTAAAATACAGATATTAGCAGACAGGATTTTTTTTAAATGACCCAATTATATGATGTCTACAAAAAATTCACTTCAAACATAATGACATAGTAAGGTTGAAACTAAAAGACAGATAAAAAGGCCGGGTACGGTGGCTCATGCCTGTAATCTCAGCACTTTGTGAAGTCAAGATGGGAGGATCAGGCTTTGAAAGGCCAGGAGCTGAAAACCAGCCTAGGCAACATAGCAAGACCTTGTCTCTACAAAAAAAAAAAGATTAGCTGGGCATATTAGTGTGCATTTATAGTCCTAGCTACTCAGAGAGTGAGGCAGAAGGACTGCTTGAGCCCAGGAATTCAAGGCTGTGGAGCTATGATCATATCACTGCACTCCAGCCTGGGCAACAGAGTGAGACTTTATCTTTATTTAAAAAAAAAAAAAAAGAGGAGGAGGAGGAGAAAAAGAAAGAAGAAAGAAGAAAAAAGAGGAAGAAAGAGGAGGAGCAGGAGGAAGAAGAAGAAGAAAAAAGAAGAAAAAAAGGAGGAGGAGGAGAGGAAGAAGAGGAAGAAGAAGAAAGAAAAGAACTATTCTATAGGAGTGGCTATATAAGATAATCTTCAGAACAAAGAAAATTACGAGGGACAAAGAGAATTCTTACATAATTGTAAAGGATCAATCCACCAAGAAGACAAAGCAATCCTAAATGTTCGTGCAACAAAATCCAGTGTGATATAGTAAAGGCACTAAGAAATTGGAATGGAAACTGAAGAGGTAAGAACTAAATCAGAGTAAGAATTTAAACAAAATATCTGTCTTTTTTGATATTTTCTATTGGCCTCTTTCTGCTATTGTATTCCATGAGGTACCATCCTTGACATTTTGCTTTTCTCTCTACCCATGCTCCTTCAGAAAGCTTAACTACTCTTACGGCATAATTTTAATCACAAATTATTTAAGATCTTCCAAATTTGTATTTCCTATTTCCCATTTGTTCAACTGGCTTTGAAGACACTTCAAACCAAATGATCTCCCGACAAATCAAACTCAGTATGTCCAAAACTAAATTCACTACCCTACTTTCTAATGGTGTCACCGATTCTTTTTCAATAATCCAGATCCAAACTTGTTTCCAATTTATCTTGTAATCTAAACTATTCAAATTATGTTAAGTGTGTCTACTTTACCTGATATGTAAATTATCTTGACTCATACTTTGGAGCCAATTTGAAATGAAGCTTGGCAGTTACTTTCTGCTTGTTATAAAATAGGACCCAGAGGTTTGCCAATAAAAAAATAAGAAATCAGGGCAACTAATATCAAGGGACCATTTCAATACAATATGAATCAAACATGGACACAAATATTTCTTTCTTTTGCCTCCTCTTCACCCTATTGATGAGGGAGGGATTGCTGCCTGATAGATCTGGATTGGCTAAATACAACACTGCACAGAGGAGACTGACGGTAGTTTATTAGTCACATATACTCACAGCTGGGGAAGACACAGGACATGCAGGGCCACACAGGGATTGTACATGGGAACAGAACGAGTAAACAGGAACCATAGGAGGCAGGCTTGTAGTAGCAAGAAAAGAGCGTGATTTTTTTTATTTCTGTAGGAGGGTGTGATTGGCTTGTTTGAATAATTTCACAGGTTAGCATGGGATGGAAATCTGAGGTTGAGTACCAGGTAGAATACAGTTGGTCTCGTTGATAGAAGAACTGGCTGTGTAGGAAGCCTCTCCACTGAGTAGAGGGCATATCTGGCAGGTAAACTTGTGGTTAGGCCCTTTGAGGACCTCGCAGTTTCAGATGTCAAGACTGTGCATAATATTAAATCTTTAATGTCAGCCCATACAGCACAATACTACTCTGAGAGATAAGTGAGGAGCTCAGGATCTTACTGGTAGAAATGAGATGTACCATTTTAACCAAATAATTAAAATGGTACAACTGGGTACATCAGTAGATACGATCCATAAAGTAACAAGGCAGAATGGAAGGGATGTCATGGGAGAAAGGCTGTAAAGAAAGAACACTGGCTGTTGATGTTAGCTAATAAGTGAAAAAGAAACAACACAAGAAGCAACCTACCTTCACCCAGTCCCCACTTATAGAGTGGAAGATTTATCCCAACCTGAGAATACCAAGCTCTAATCATCCCTACCCCCAGCTCACTTGTAGGTGGAGTGAGGGTCCACTCCAGGAGAGGCAATCCAAGAACAGGGACTAACTACTACCCCTTTCAGCATCACAATCATAGAGAAGGGGTGTGTTATTCCAAGAGAAGTAGACCAATGAACCTGCCCCCAGATACAGAGCAGTGCCACAAAGCTTCTGCCCAGCAGAGGCAAGCCATAAGAACAGAGAGCTCCACACATCTCCATAAGGAGAATGACTTTGTTTGAAACAGAGCATAAAAAGCTCAAGCCTAAGGACACTGACAAAAACAATGGAGATCTTGGTGGTGAGCAATTAAGAACTAATCCAAACCAGACACTAAATAACGAAACAACAAAAATATCAAACGTTACCAGCCCAGAGAAGGGATCAATATCCAGAGCTGCAACAAGATATTATCCAAAACGTCCAGTTTAGAACAATAACAGAAAAGTAAGATGTGCAAAAGAAAGTGTGACCCCTTCACAGGGGGAACAAAATAGGCAAATTTACCTTTCAGAGGGCACACACATTGGGCTTAGCCAGTAACAATTAAAAGCAGCTATTATAAACATATTCAAAGGGAAGAAAAGGATGCTTAAAGAATTAAAGATAGGTATGATGGCAAAGTCACATCAAATACAGAATGAAAGACAGAACTTAGAAAATAACAAAATGGAAATTCTAAGGCTGAAAAGTACAGTAACTGAAGTGAAAAATTCACTAGAGGCTCAACAGTAGATATGGACAAGACAGAAGAAAAAAATCAGCAAACATCAAGATAAATGAATAGAGACTATGCAAACTGAAGCAAAGAAAGAAGAAACAAAAACAAACAAAGGCTTAGAGACCAGTGAGACAAGATTAGGGGTGCTGATATATGTGGACTGTGATGCAAGAGATGATAACTGGGCAAAAAAGAGAAAGAAGCAGAAAAAATCCTCAAAGAAATGATGGCTGAAAACTTCCCAAATTAGACAAAAGATATTAACTATACATCTGACAAGTTCAGTGAGCTCAAAGTAGAATAAACACAGAGATTCACATAGAGACATATCATAATCAAGATACTGAAAGTGAAAGACAAAGAGCATATCTTGGAAGCAACAAGAGAAAACAAATTACATACAAGAGAACATGAATAAGATAACAGCTGACTTCTCATCCAAAACTATGAAGGCCAGAAGATAGTGAAGAGACATATTCAAAGTGCTGAAAAGAAAAAGACTGTCAACCAAGAATTCCAAGCCCAGCAAAACTATCTTTCAAAAAGATGAAATAAAAACACGCCAGATACATAAAACAGGGAACTTGCAGATCCATCTTACAAGAAATAACATAGGAAGTTCCAAAGGCTGAAAAACAAGTAACACCAGATAGTAGTAACATTTTCATAACAAAACAAATAGTGCTAGTAAAAATAACTACATCGGTAACTACAAAAAGACATACTTCATTTCCTGTATTCTGTTAACTGATTTAAAGAGCAATTTGAAAATATATAAAGCAGGCTGGCATGGTGGCTCACACGTGTAATCCCAGCACTTTAGGAGGCCAAGGTGGGAGGACTGCTTGAGCCCAGGAGTTCAAGACTAATAACATAGTGAGATCCCATCTCTACCAAAAAAATTTTTTGAAAAATTAGCTCAGTGTAGTGGTACACACCTGTGGGCCTCACAACAGAGGAGGCTGAGGCAGGAGGATCACTTGAGCTCAGGTTAGAGTGAGCTATGATCATGCCACTGCAATCCAACCTGGGCAACAGAGCAAGTCCCCGACTAAAAAAAAAAACAAAAACTTAAAGGCATTTATATACGTGTGTGAGTAGTATGTATAACAATAATAGCACCAAAAAAAAAGAGGGAATAGAGCTATACGGGAGTAAAGTTTCTGTACCATACTAGAATTAAGTTAGTATAAATTGAATCAGAAGTATATTCTGATAAGATAAATATTATAAGCCCCAGAGTAATCACTAAGAATATAACTTTAAAAAAAACTACCTAGAAAATCAT
Source organism: Homo sapiens (assembly GCF_000001405.40). NCBI lineage: Eukaryota > Metazoa > Chordata > Mammalia > Primates > Hominidae > Homo > Homo sapiens. Next base: position 104,882 of record NW_025791766.1, on the reverse strand, counting down.
TTTAAAAATTAAACTGAAAGTGTCATACTAGAAAATATTCACTTCATGCAATAATAAAAGGGGAACAGAAAAAGGACACAAGACACATGAAAAACCAAACGTAAGCCAGAAAATGTGAATCCAATCACATCAATAATGACATTAAATGCAAACAGATTAAATAATCACATCACAAGGCAAAAACAGATAGAATTTTAAAATTAAAAACTCAAGATTTAACTATATGCTCTTTACAGCAGATACATCATTTTTGATAATACAAATAGGTTGAAAGTAGAGGGATTTTAAAAGATAAACCATACAAACAGCAACCATAAGAGCTGAAGTGTCTATTCTAACCTAAGACAAAACAGACTTTAAAACAAAAAGTTACTCAAAATATGGAGGAACAATTTATAACAATTAAAAGGTCAATTCTAATTAATTGGGCATGGTGGGCACACGCCTATAGTCCCAGCTACTCAGGAGGCTGAGGCACGAGAGTCGCTGGAACCCAGAAGGTAGAGGTTGCAGTGAGCCACGCACTGCATTTCAGCCTGGGCAACAGAACAAGACTCTGTCTCCAAAAAAAGGTCAATTCATCAGGAATATATAACAATTATAAACATATATGGATCTAACATCATAATGTCAAAATATGTGAAGCAAATCTGAGAGAAAAAAGGGGAGAAATAGACAATTAAACAAAAAGAGTTGAAGACTTCAGTACCCTTCTTTTGAAAATGGAGAAAACAGCTAGTCAGAAGACCAACAAGGAAACAGAAAATTTGAACAGCTAAACCCACTAGAGCTGAAAGACATCTATAGAACACACCACCTAACAACAGCAGAATACACATTCTTCTCAAGTACAAACTGTACATTCTACAGAATAAACTACATGCTAAAACATAAAACGAGCCTCAATAAAACTTAAAGACAGAAATCATACAAAGTATGTTTTCCAACAAAAATTGAACCAGATGAAACATAATAACAGAAGGAAATTAAACAACACATTCCTAAATAACCAAAGGGTAAATGTAGAAAAATCACAATGTAAACTAGAAAATAAGTTTAGATGAACTAAAACAAAAATATAATAAACCAAAACTTAGGACATGCAGCTAACACAGTGCTTAGGAATTTATCAATTTGTATACATATTTGTAATAAGAAGAAGAAAGAGCTTAAATCAATAACCTAACTGTCCACCTTAAAAAACAGAATAAAAGCACAAACTAAACCCAAAGCAAATGGAAGGAAGGAAAAATAATGACTAGAATGAAAATAAATGAAACAAAAATCAGAAAAGAAAAATAAAGATTAGAAAAAAATAAAGAAACCAGTTTATTTGAAAAAATCAGCAAAATTGACAAAATTTAACTAGATTCACCAAAGGGAGAACAAAAGAAGGGAAAACTTAAGTTACTAAAATCAGGAATGAAAGAGAGGGCATTGTAACTAACCTTACTGAAATGAAAGAGATTACATGGGAATATTATGAACAGATATATGTAAACAGATAGCCTAGCTAAATGGACAAATTCTATTTAAGACACAAATTGCAAAAGCTGATTCATGAAAAATATAAAATCTAAATAGACTTATGGCAAGGAAAGAGATGAAATTAGCAATTTAAAAACTTCCTACAAAGAACAGCCCAGGTAGTTTCACAGTAAATTCTATTCAAAAACAATTAATACCAATCCTTTCCAGACTCTTCCAAGTGATCCTCCCACCTCAGCCTCCCAAAGTACTGAGATTACAAGCATAAGACACTGTACCTGACCCAAAATTTTATTTACTCCAGTAATTTTTATTCAATTTCTACCATCCAATCCCAGGGCTATTTAATGGATTTCATCACCCTTCAAACTGATCCTCATTTAAATCTACTTATTCAATCTGACCAAAATTACCTATTCTTCTAGTGCTCTCAGTAACTTATTCCCACCTCATCTAATCAACTTCATAAAGAAATCTCTGGTCCTTCTATTTTCTCCTAGAATAACAACTCTTCTGGCTTCTCTTTCCCTATGTAGGCTGAAACCAATAGGTGATCAACTCTTCTCTCTTTGACTGCTATCCTTCTACCATACCCATTCAATGTATTCCTGAACCAAGGATCAATACTGTAATTCATCATCTCCATTCCTGAGTGTTAGCAGGAAAAACAAATCAGAGATTCTATACAGGCTGACAATATTATAAAATCATTATCACTAACCTGAGCTGACTTCTCAGAACTGCCCTCCAATCCTTTTACTTTCCCTTGGTCAGCTCCATCTCAAATTCACTTCAACATAAACTGTAAGTCTTCACCAAACCACTCTCCTCAATGCCTCTAACCTAATTCCACCACTACTCACCTCCCTCAGCAGATAATCTTGCTTTTACCTCAAAACTGATTTCTCTCAATTTCCTCTCTACAAACTTATCTGCATCCACTCTTGTCATCTTGGGCTCAATCAATTCCTTTTTCCCTTCAAGTCACACAAAGGAATAAACAGATTCTAACATCAGACTCCTCCATATAATTCAGTTCTAAACACTGCCATGTAGAATGCGATGAAAAACCAAATGATTCCTCTAATAAAACATCAGGGGACTTGTGATGGTCTGAATGTTTGTGTCCCCCCTGAAAAGTATAGGTTGAAATCCTAATCCCCAAGGTGATGAAATTAAGGAGGTAAGGCTTTTGGAAAGCAATTAGATCATGAGGACACAGGCCACATGTTTGGGATTAGTGCCCATTACAAAAAACGACTCCAGAGAGACCCCCTGCCCCTTCCACCATGGGAGGGCACAGAGGAACATGTCATCTATGACAAACAGGCCCTCACAAGACACTGAATCTCCCAGCACTTGATCTTGGAACCAGCCTCTAGAACTGCAAGAAACAAATTTCTGTTGTTTATAAGCCATACTTAAAGTACTAAGATATTTTTGTAATAGCAGTCTAAAGAGACTAAGACAGGATTTATAAACACATCTAATCTGAAGTATAATTATTATAGATATTAAAAAATACAAAATTAGATAGACCTAACAAGATATTTTTTCACAAGGTATCCGTAAGTAGGACATTTACTATCTCCTTTTTCTACGTACCTGCTTTTAAATGTTTAGGAGCCTTTGGCACAGTGTCAGGAGACATCCTCAACATTCTGAGATCTGAAGAGTGATATTCCGACTCTCTTGTTGGCTTATGTGGAACAAATGAAGGCAATAAAAATGAAAAAGACTCATTAATGCCCAGATTAGAATGACCCACCTACGAAGAAATGAAGAAAATAAGATATTAATTTCAAACCTCATCTGCTAAAAATAATCCTTCATTTTTACAAAGAGGAACACTAAGAAGTTATACTAGTTACTTAAGATCATAATCTCAAACCTTCTGAATTCATATATAGGTCATATTTTATTGGGTCAACTCTAGAAGACTAAATCATCCTGAGGGCTTAGAAATCTGTCTAGATAAAATATTATAGATAGTATGCTTAGAAGTGTTCTGTTACTCAGAAGTTTGCTCCTTATGATCATCGCAGAATTTGAACCATGGGATTATTCTGGACAAGCTCAGGTATTTCTTTTTAAGGTAGAGAGGTGCACTGTGGACAAGAAACAGTAAGAAGGAAAAAGAAAACAGGAATATTTTCTAGAAACTCACAAATGTTTAGAAGAAAAATGAGAGTATCAAAGAACTATAACTGTGATCGGTTACCAACAAGCATAAGTCCTCAAACTTCTTAAAACAAAAGTAGTGGAAACTATAAATTGGTAGTGAAGTAAAGGGTAACTGCTCAAAAAGAAGTTCCTAATGTTTCATCAAGTCACAAGTTCTTGCTAGAAAAGAAATTAGAAACCAATATTGGTGACATTAATACCTAAACATGTACAACTTTTCACCAAATTCACAGTGCACCCTCACATAAAAATATATATCATTTTTAGATTGTCTTTATTTCCCTAAAAAGATTATTTCAGTCACATCTTCTCAGGATGAAGTCTAAAAATGTACATAAGCATGAATTTTTCTATCCTCTTTCATCAATTTTTCATTGTGTAGTAATGAACATTCTTAGGAAGCCATGTGAAGTGTGGAAATGAACATTCCATATCTATTTCTATATCTACATCTACTGCCCATACAGGTTTCTCTACTTTTCAACTTGTGAAGATTTTGTACCCATCAAGGGACATTTGACAATGCCTGGAAACATTTTTTGCTGTCATAACTTGTGAGGGGAGGGGATGTTACTAGTATCTAGTGAATAGAGGCCAGGGATGGATGATGCAAAACATCCTACAATACTCAGGAAACACGCCTCCCACCATAACAAAGAATTATCCAACTCAAAATGATAAGGCTGCTAAGAAGCCCTGCTCTCCACATAGCACAAAGTTCATAGTTTTCAATTACCTCACTCCTACAGGAAACTTCTCTGAAGTACAGGCTATATATATACACATATATACATACACATAAATATATATAAATATATATGCATATATATAATATGCAGTCATAGATCACTTAATGATGTGGGTATGTTCTGAGAAATGTGCTGTCAGGCAATTTTGTTGTTGTGCAAACATCACAGAGTGACTTACACAAACCTACAACTGTGTAGCCTACTACACACCTAGGCTATATGGTCTAGCCTACTGCTTCCAGGATACAAACCTATCAGCATGTTACTGTTCTAAATATTGTAGGCAACTGTAACACAGTGGCATTTGTGTATCTAAACATAGGAAAGGTACAGTAAAAATACAGTATTTTAATCTTATGGGACTACCATCATATATGCAGTCTGTCACTAACTGAAATATCATTATGTGGCATGACCATATATAATATATAGACACTTGTGAGAGACAGTGTGTGTTTATAGTTTACAGCAGTTTTTCTTCTACAGCTTTCAAACACAGAAAGAAAAATTTTTATTACAAGCTTGACGTCAAAAAAATTTCATTATGTTAAAGTTTCAAAATATAGAACTATTAAAGTAGGTAATACCGGCCAGGCACGTTGGTTCACGCCTGTAATCCCAGCACTCTGGGAGGCCGAGGCGGGCGGATCACGAAGTCAGGAGATCGAGACCATCCTGGCTAACACGGTGAAACCCCGTCTCTACTAAAAATACAAAAAATTAGCCGGGCATGGGGGCGGGCACCTGTAGTCCAAGCTACTCAGGAGGCTGAGGCAGGAGAATGGTGTGAACCCGGGAGGCGGAGCTTGCAGTGAGCTGAGACCGCACCACTGCATTCCAGCCTGGGCAACAGTGGGAGACTCTGTCTCAAAAAAAAAAAAAAAAAGTAGGTAATACAAAAGAAAATGTAAAATGAAAAATATGAGAAGTATTTATTTAAGAAACCAGCAGATCTTCATTGCTAATTGAAAATGGAAAGAACCAGGAGAAAACAGAAATCAAGATTCGTTTATCTTCCCAATGTTTAATCAATAATGAAGAAAGAATGAAAGATGACCAAGAAACCAGAAAAATACTAATACCTTTCATAAAAACTCAGGAACTCTACAAGTCAGTCTAATTTTAGGAAAAACATGAGTTATTTTGCTATAGAGCAAGTTGAATTTGGGGTGATGACAATGTTCACAAGAAAACATGCAAAATAAATTAGACAAATATTAGGGTATAAAAACAGAGGTGATAATCATCCACACAGAGACAGGCAACTAGGTCTCCAAAGGTGGGGGGATATGAAGGGGAGAGAAAAGAAATCTAAGGCTTAAACCTTAAATAATTTTTAGAGCTAAATGGCCAAAACAAGAGGTACTAAAATAGCATATTAGGCCAGGCACGGTGGCTCACGCCTGTAACCCCAGCACTTTGGGAGGCTGAGGCAGGTGGATCACCTGAGGTCAGGAATTCGAGACTAGCCTGTCCAACATGGTGAAACCCCGTCTCTACTAAAAAGACAAAAAATTAGCCAGGCATAGTGGCAGGCACCTGTAATCCCAGCTACTTGGGACGCTGCAGCAGGACAACTGCTTAAACCCAGGAGATGGAGGTTGCAGTGAGCTGAGATTGTGCCATTGCACTCCAGCCTGGATGACAAGAGCAAAACTCTGCCTCAAAAAAAAAAAAAAAAAAAAGCATATTAATTATGTGCTGCTACCAAGAAAAAGGAGAAAGAAAAACAAAATAATGATAGAAAGTAGGAAACCACCAGAGACTCTAGTAGTCTAGTTTCAGCAAAGTGAAGAGAACTAACAACCAGGCACTATATAAATGCTACATAACTTACCCCATTTAATAGTACGATGTATAAGGTTATTACTATTCCTATTTCCTTATGCAGATCAGGAAAGTGATCCTCCGAAGTCATTTGCTCAAGACACAAGGCTAACAAAGTAACTGAACTGGATTTTGACTCAAAATCTCTATGTTCTTTTCACAGTTCCAAGCTCCATCATACATACGTGGATACCCAAATAATCATTTATGAGGAGTAGATATAAAAGTGAACCAAGTAACTATGAATGACTCTTCTGTGACACAGATGAGGAGCATAAGGAAAAACCAAGGAGTAAGCAAGCCCCTGAAAGCAAGCTAAGCCATGCAGAAAAAGTACTACCACATCTGGCTCCTTGCTTTTCTGATATTGACATTAAATAACTCCTAGATCTAAGACTAAGACAGATAGAGCTACAACTGAAAGACAATACAGGGAATAATAGCATCTTCCTTAGATTGAAAGAATAATACTTCAGGCTATATTTAAGGACAGATTAAAATTTGGAGCAGTGGTCAAAGCTAGTCTCTGCACATTAACTGAACCTATATATCTTTATTTTTAAAATACATTTTATCTACATGAAAGGTTGATGTAAGTCACAAAAGTAGTATTAAAAATTTAGAACACTTTAAAAGTTGTTACTTTGTTTCTCATTGTTATTGAACTCAACTTTAGGCAATCTCCTTCAAAACCTCTACTCTTGCCAAAATAATGCAAAATCTTAACCTTAGTTTCACCAAGAATAGTTAAAAGGTGGGGGGAGGGGGAACAGTTTATGGTATGGTGGTTAAGTACACAGATATGGTTAGTTTCAAATACTGGTTCCCCCAATTGCTGAATAATTATGAGCAAGTTCCTAAATCCTCTAAGTGTCAATTGCAAAATAGGGATGATAATAATCTCTAACAATTCTATTTGATAGGATTGACAGAGGACAAAAACGAATTGATATATACATGTAACCTCTTAGCACAGTACTTGAGCACAAAGTGTTAACTATCATTTTCATCCCCAGTTATCAGATTAAAATTAAAAAATGCCTAGTTTGGAATACTGAAGAAAATAAACCTAGTGATTCTGTGTTAAAAAAACTTTAATAAATGTAATAAATTATAAATAAAAGTTCATCATAATATCTTTGTTCATTTTCTACCAACAATCTGAACCTAAAGGTCTAAATGTGGTTGTAACCCAAACTAATAGAGCTTTACAAAAACATACCAATCTTATACATAGGAAAAGAGAAGTAACATTAAGTACATCACTATTTTATCTAACTGTATTTAATGAATAACAGGATATAAGGCTATATCACAAGGAAGTAGGGCCCACCTTGGGACTTACAGTACCAGACAACAAAAGAGGATATTCATTCAACGGGACCAGAGGAACATTAATGCCAAGGGATCCAAGGATCCAAGCAAATAAAAGCCTTCTATAAAAGAATGACACAGGGAGGGGAACATCACACACCAGGGCCCGTCGCGGGGTAGGGGGTTAGGGGAGGGATAGCATTAGGAGAAATACCTAATGTAGATGACAGGTTGATAGGTGCAGCAAACCACCATGACACCTGTATACCTATGTAACAAACCTGCACGTTCTGCACATGTGCCCCAGAACTTAATTTAAAAAAAAAAGGCTGATATAAAATTTTTATGACATCCTAGAGTTGCCAGTTTCTAGTACACACACACACAATGGTAATAATGATATAAATAGAGAGAGGGAAGAGACATGTATATACATTAGTATGTTGCTCATTTGGGAAGGAGATACTTCCCTTTGAAGAGACACTGGCCAGTTTGGACGTTAAGCACTTCATTATCCTTCCTGGTCAAACATGGGTCTTACAATTTTCAAGACACCTCTGAAGTCAAGTCTTTCAAGAGCTTCTAAACAGAAATACTTAAATATTCCAGGGACTGTTTCAAGGCTTGTGCATTGAAGACCAGAGGGAAACATTCAAAGTACAAGCTTTTGGATGTTCCCATGAATAAGCCTAATCTTAACACTGTCTAAAGACTCTTGCTGGCACAACTAGGAAGAGTTAGGCTGCCTCAATATGAAAGGCCTGGAGCCCCATGGGATGCCTTTTCCAAGACACCACAGAACTAAGTCTTACAGTCTATGAAACATAAACATTTCTTTTATACCAACCTCTAATGGAACATATTCCTGGATATCAGATGAAGAACAGGTACAAGTTACAAGCTGGTACTGAAGGATATAATTTTTCAAATAAAGTATTTTCAAATAAAATTTGGAAATTTTTCAAATAAAACATTCCCTCCCCGCCCAGAAAAAAATGTCAAATAGAAAAACTTACAGGCTTTTCAAAATTGCTTTCCTTCTCAGATGGTAGTTGTAAAGTAGGCTGCCAGTGCAGGGAGCTGTCATGCATCTCTAGATCACCATGAAATTTCTCTAAAGCTGCTAGCTCAATGTACTCACCAGTCAAATGACATTGGTCATGTACCCAGGAAACAGTAAAAAGTAAAATAAAAACAAACAATACCATTTCCTGAAACAATACTGAAAAAGGCCACGTTTCTTACAACTATCATTTTATTGTGTCTCACCTTTCTTTGTAGTTCAGCAACTCTTTCACTGCATACAACAGCATTTTCATTTAGGCCATCCAGAGTAATGACGTCAGACTCAACCTTCCCCTGCAGGCCCTCTACAAAATAGGAGTCATTTTGCATAATTGTATGTATAGTAAAACTAGGCTCAGCTCCCACACACGAAGGACTTTCACCTTGGCCTATATCAGCTTTCAGCAATGTCTCTTGGGCGACTGCAATTAATGATGCATCACTGGTCAATGGTACAAGCACCTTGTGACTTTGCATCACATGCCACCAAGTTTGCTGAAAAGCTGCTTCCTACAGCTGCAGGTGGACCTTTAATGGCATTTCTACAGTTAACATCCTTACCCAAATTAAAGTTTGAGTAATCTGCAACTTCTTCAAAGGTTGGCTGCTTTAAATCTTGTAAAACCAAAGATTCTGAAGTTAATACTTTCACATGATAAATAACATCTGAAGATCCTACCTTCTCTGCAAGGTCAAGAGAAGGAACAGACTTTATCTTCCCAAAGGGAAGAAATGGTTCATTGCCTATATCACACTGAAATAAAGCTGACTGTGTTTTGCCAAGACCAACAGCCTGGTTGTAAGATTTTTCACTCAAAGAAGCAGATGACTTAAGCTCTGGAATAACACAAAGTGGCTTAATGAACATTTTCTGAAGAGCATTAGGGGGTAATTTTAAATTTGGATGCCAGTATAGGAAGCTATCATTATTACCCTTTTTATGCAACAATGGTTTTGAAGCTGCTGGTTCAAACACCCCAGGAGTAGACTGATAGCATGGATGTTTAAGCCTATCAAATAAAGAGGTTTCATCATTATAATTTAATGGAGAAAGATCTGGATTTTTTGGCTCTCTCTCGGCTGTCATCTGTTAAATATTTATTGATGTCAGCTTGGATTTCATTTACTGTACTCTCTTTCTTAGAAGGCTCAATAGAGGCAATAACTGCCTCAAAGGCTATATTTTCAGCAGCATCAATATTTTTCTCACCAAAAAGAGAAGTTCCCTTTTGGTTTCTTTCCTCTTGAAAATACAGTTGTTCTGATATCTCATCCAAGTTGGATATAACAATCCAACCAGAAGCCTCCATTTTAGAGGTATTATGTCCCCTGGAGAGTACATGTGCTTCTGAAACTTTTACAGAATTATCAGGAGCTATAACATTCCTAATATACTGTATTTCTAAGAATCTGGGTTGCACTTCTGAAGATACTAAATTATTTCTAGTCTCCGTTAGTTCAAAACATTGAGATGATTCTTTCTGTAAACCTTCTTCATTTCTTTCATAACCCTCCAAAGAATCCATCTTTTGTTTCACCTCAATCTCAGCTGGAGCCCTTAAATAAACATTCTCAAAATAATGACTATCAGAAGTCAAGGGAACCCCTTTTCCTCTTCTTTCCAACAAACAACACAAGAAAGAATATGACATTTTATGATGATGATGATGAGCAGCAACTTCACATGGAAAGGAAAAACAGTCCTTACTGATTACACACGTTTCTGGGTGGTGCAAAGTTCCCTCTTTGTTCCATGGCACATAGGAAAAGGGGACACTAAAATTGTTACTTCCCTTGGGAATTTTATTTTTATCAATTGTGTCAGATGAATCTGAAAAAGAATCAGGGTACTTACTGGTTAAATATGTTTCTGCCTGCTTAGATGAATCTTCCTGTGTCCAATACTGCCCATATGAACGAGCAGCATCAAAATGGTCACTTCTTTTAGTAGCTATGTTTTCATCAGTTATGTCAAATGAAGTTGCAACTGAAACTTGATCTTTATCAGCTAAATTGTTTTCAGGCCACTGTGTATCTTTTCGTGTCTTCCATGACATATATGAACAAAGATCATCATAACGATCACAGTCTTTGGGAATTTTCAGTTCATCAACAGACGAAATAGTCTCTTCATTATTCCCTTGTTCAGAAGGTAAAAAAGGGCACTGAGACCCAACAGCTGTGCTGCCTATAAGCGGGTGCTGAGATACACTAAAGCGACTGCTTGCTAAGTCTGAAGCTACTTCTGCAGTAGCCTGGAATAAAGCTTCACTAACTTCCGATGGTCGAGAAGACCATTCAGTATCTTCAGACTTATCAGGAATTCCCCTGAAAATATATAGTTAAAAATAAATAAATAAATAACATTAAAAACATTTAATTTTTAAGTACTAACACAAAAATACATATGTCACTGAAATCAAGTTTATTTGAAAAGTGTATTGAAAAACACAGCTCTCCTAATTTCAGACTCTTCTAAGATGGCTAATGACTGAGTAAAGCAAATTCTTTTTAACTAAAAGGTGAACTACCACCCTATAACCCTGATATTATCTCAGACTTCTCCTAAAACAATAGACACAGAATGTGATTTTCATAATGACGCCTACCATGATTTTTCATTTAACCTGCGTTAACTTTTTTACTAGTCATCATTTATTGTGCTCTTGAAACCATGCAAGGCCAGGCACAGTGGCTCACACCTATGATCCCAGCACTCTGGGAGGCTGAGGCAGGAGGATCACCTAAAGCCAGGAGTTCAAGACAAGCCTTGGCAATACGGCAAGACCCTATCTCTACAGAAAAATTAAAAATTGGCTGGGCATGGTGGCACATGCCTGTAGTACTAGCTGCTGTGGAGGCTAAGGCAGGAGGATTGCTTGAGCCCAGAAGTTAGAGGTCACAGTGAGCCATGATGGCACCACTGCACTCCAGCCTGGGCAACAGAGCAAGACTCCATCTAAAGAAAAAAAAAAGCAAACAAACAAAAAGAGAAAGAGAAAGAAACCACTTAAGAAGTGATCTATTCCCAAAACACAACAGTAACTTAATCATTAGTTGATGATCTAATGTGTATAGATCACTTTTCATAAAAGTGATATCAGGTAAATATATAGTATAAGGACAGAGGTTACTTTTTACTTTCTAAACATCTATAGTTTTTAATTTAAGGTGGGTTTTCAATTCTAAAAGAAGAAAACATATTCTTGAATAATTCCAAATATGTTTTGAAAATTCCAGACTTTTCTCCCATTATGACTATTCTAAAGGACATGAATTTGGAGTATCTGTTCATTTGGATATGTCTGTTCATAAAAATCTTCTTACTTCATATTGACACCTCCTATAAGGTAAGGAGAGCTAACTAGTCTCATTCAATAACAGCTGAACAAAATGAGAGTGCCAAACAAGTTAGTGAACAAGAAATAAATGCTTTTTGCAGAATAAGGGTGAGAGGGAGGAGAGAGATGATGGGCAGCAGATGGGGAGGTTTATAAGAAGGAAAATCCAGTGTGTCTTCTAAATTAAAATATGCCTGAAATGCCTGAATATATTAGGAATTATTTTTAAATAAACTACTGTCATCTGGTTCATCTCTACACATACGTTACTCTGCCAAATTAATATGCATCAAGTCTTAGTACAGGACTTTGTTACCTTCAGGGCGTGTCCTAAGAGTATCTAAGCCCCACCTCAAAGTCCCACCTTAGCCTGAAGTCACTAATATTAGTAAAAACATAGAACAAGAAGTGAGAAAGGTTACATGCAAATAAATCATCCTACCTCAGAGGTGCAAAACTTAGTTCACTTTGATGAAATAAAGAATCAGGCGCAAATTCTTGGTCTTGTGTCAAACAGGTCAGCAAAGGCAAATCAGGAGAAGCAAAGCTATCTTGTATGACTGTAAAGTTTCAAATATTAAATGCTGGGTAATGCTGAAAATTGATTATTTACTTACGTATATAATACTTTAAAGCACCTACATATGCTGCCATATGGAGAATTCTACAAGCATTAGAATAATAATATAAAAGCAACAGCAGTAGCAGCTACCATTTATTGAGAGTCTGACAAGGTCCAGGTGCTTAACACACAATATTTCATTTAATCCTCATGACAACCTTGAAAGATAGGTATTATTATATATATCTTATAGGTGAGGAAACATGATTACAAAACTTACAAAGCATTAAGTAACTTGTCCACATTCAAGTAGCTGAAATGCCAGAGTGAGATTTGAACCCAAGCATTTCAACTTTTAGCAAACGCTCTTAACTATTATGAGTGTTTCTTCCCATCTTACATAATATAGACTACACCCGTTATGTCAAAGCATAGCACAGGAGCTCCTGGGCCCTAAGACACTCTTAGGGGGTACCTAATGTCAAAATTTTATTCAAAATAATATTAAGATATCATATGCCTTATTCACTCCCATTCTCTCAAAAAGATACAGTGACATTTTCCAGAAGCTACAGAATATATGATACAGCAACAGATTGAATACAGAAACAGACATGAGAGTCTTGATGTTTTCTATTATGTCAGACATTATAGAATTGTTTAAGTAAAACATGGCCATACTTCTAAACATTTTTGTATTGGAAAAGTTATTTTTTATAAAATATGTACTTTTTCAATGAATTAATAAATACATTTTAAATGTTTCAGTTTTAATTTCTAATGTGGGAAATATCAATAACCCAAATAAACAAAAGCTCTTTGGAGTTGTCAGTAATTTTTAAAAGTGTAAAAGAATCCTGTTACCCAAAAAGTTTGAACTGCTGCTTTAATGAAAAAAAAATTCTTGTGATTTCCTGAATGTTGACTTAAATCATTCTTATTTTAATCAGTATACTTTCTTGATTTCAGAATGCCTGCAACACTGTGTACAAAGTGAGGACTCCTCTCTCACATTACTGTTCCCCCTGAAATTACTGCAAATCTAGAGTTCACAGAGCTCACCATGTTGTCATCTGTCCTTTACTTAGTCAAAACACATACTGTCACTGCTTATATACCCTGCATACCTTCCATATAATTCATCACCCTCTTGTTTTAATCTTCAGTCTATCCACTTCCCATCTAAATTGTCAACTGTGTCTACTTTATCCATAGCTATATCCTCAGTGCCTAGCAAAGTACCTGCTACACTTAAAAGGTACTCAAAAGAGAGTTATTTATTTACTGAATGAATTAATTAAAAATGAAAAACTGATATGTAACAATAACCTTTGCCACCAAGGAACAATTGGTACAGTTCCTCTTTGGTCTTGGCACAGAGAAGCAGTCTTAAACCTCCGTAACAGTCCTTCACCCCTCTAAAACTCATGAAGAGTTTTTAACAAAGTCCCCAAATACACTAGAGCTGATGCTACAAGGGGGACCTTTGGGCAAGTAAAGCAAATTTACTATTTCCAGTTAACTGCAGGCTGAGTATTTAAAGAATCTGACAGTCTTTTCTCAAAAAAAATTAGAGTTAACCCTAACTAGGTTTCAGAACCTACAGAAATCCTCAGTACCTAAAATAGCTATTTAAGTATAAGTAAGGAATAGTAAGTAACAAGTAAGTTACAAGCAGCATTTCAGCATCTCCTTAAATATTTAAGAATATCTCAGGGTGGAGTTGGACAGTTAAATCACATAAATAGGCAAATGTATTTGCTAAAGGAGCAGGCCAAAGCTGAAGAGTTAATGATTCTCAAGTGTACAACATTATCTGTGTGTGTGTGATGGGAAGGTGGTGTATTTTACTTGCCATGCCTTTTTCTTACAGCTTTCAACTGCTTCTTGTTTCCTCAAGTGTGGATATCTGTTACTGGCTTGCATCCCTCTTTTTTGAGGTATCTAACCATTCTGGCACCAGCCATCATCAATTACATTTGCCATTGGCGAGAGCCTATTTATCACAATGTTAGTACTTATGCGTAACAAAACAGCAATGATAAAATTTCCTCTGCCTATGAGATCCAGGAATCTACTCCAATAATTTAAAATGTTCTGCCCTAACTATAGTAAATGAGAAGCCAGAGTTATAAAACTTTACATTAGAAAACATTTTAGGTCACGAAGTACAATCTCCTCCCCAGTGCTAAAATCCTAATACAGAATTTTGCTAGACATTTTGCAGTGACATGAAGCTCACTTTTTGTTGTTGTTATATAGCCTTTTTTAGTATTAAATGGCTCTATTAGAAAGCTCTTTTTTACATCAATTTGAAAAATAGCTTCCCTTTAAGTTATGTATCCATTTTAAACTCTAGGAGTTAGCAAACCTTTTTTAATAAAGGGTCAGATGGTAAATATTTTCGGTTTTGTTGGTCATACATACTACTGTTGTTTGTTTTTACAATCCTTTAAAAATGCAAAAATCATTCTCAGCAGATGGACAGTACAAAATCAAGACTTGGCCTGTAAGCTATAGTTTGCAGACTCCTGCTCTACACCATTATAATACAAATCCCATGGTACTGTTATTTTCTGTTTACTGGATTGCCTTCCCAGAAGAGGAGGTAGCTTTCATCTATATACCCCTAGCATCAAACACATAGGAGGCACTTAGATATTTGTTACATGAATGAATAAAAAATAAGTTGCTTCCTTTTTAGCATAACAGCCCTTCAAATATTTGACCATAGCAAAGTCTTCTCTTTTGTCTATCAAAAGATAGTCCTCTCCTCCCACAAAGGTACTCTAATTTTGTCAACCTTTCTTAAAATGTGGACCTAAAATTGACTTTAATAATCCACATCATAGAAAACGTTGGCACTAATACCTTGATTTGGATAGCATTAGTTTATGTTGGCAAAGAACTTGCTGAATTAAGTTCTATTCATGCTTCTCTACAAAACTATAAAACCATCTTCATAATTGAATCCCTTAATGATTTTAAAAGTACTTAAAGTTTATCTTTTATAAAGAGCTAATAAATCAGTTCCATACTAAACAGAGGAAAGCAGCAAGATCTACCTCAGACAAGCCACTCAACCTCTTTATCTCAATTTTTGGTTTGAAAGCTAAGGATAATAACATATGCCTTAATTAATTCTAAAAATCAAAAAGGTAAATATGAACATTTGTTTTTTGTTTTTTGTGGGGGATCATGGAGTCTCCATTGCTGAGATAACCAAAGTATACTATTCATCCCAAAAACTCTGCAAATTCAAGACTGAGGAGGCACACACAGTAGACAGTTATCACCTTTCTGCCTTCTGTGAGCAACGGGAAGTGATAAAATGAGAGGCAACTGCACACTTAATATAATTAGATCAGCTAGCCAGTAAAAAACAAACAAACAAACAAAACAGAAATAAGCTAATCCCTCTGAGTAGGTCTCTACAGAGCTCCTTAACTCAAAAAGGGGAAAGTTACAAGACTTGCAGTCCCCGCAAAACTTACAAATGTGAGGTATTACTACTAGTTAAAATAAACAGGCATTACCTAGCAGTGGAGAACAGAAGAGATCTCTGTTGGGTTCCTTTACTTGATTTTCTGATTGCGTCAATATGCCCTCCTCCAGAGAGGGGAAGTCTGTCACTTCAGTATCTTCCGTTCTCACATTAAACCTAGTCTGGGATGTATCCAAGGTTTGGGAAGAGTCCATTTCTTGAGGAAGACAATGCCAAGATTCTGTTTTCTAGAAAAATGTTAAAGGAAAACATGCTAAGTCATTAACTGAGTTACCATACATATTAATATTTAGATGAAAATGTCCACTCATGTATTATATAGCTTCCTATTTAATGACATTCTCATCAAAGTATAGAAAATGTAAAGCTGTTGTTCTCACAATATTAACTACATTTTAGACCTCTTCCCATTACTACACATCTTTTTTTAACACAAAAAAACCTTTTATACTAAGTTGTATTGTACGCCGCTGCCAGTGTATATAAAACAATTACCCTTGTGAAATAGAAATTCATGAAAATTCAGAGAGGTAGATATTAAGGACTGACAAAAGTAGAAGTTTGTATATTATGGCACATGTGTTCCGGGGATAAGCTTTTGTACAGGCTTCAAATGTAGCTCTCTTTTGAATATTCACTGTATCATGAGAAGTGGCTTGGGAAACCTCTGAAAGATTCATTTTACTACAAAAAGGAACAGACTTTCTGGGGTATGAAGGAATTTGTACTTGAAGATACTCCAGTCAGCAGAGAGTCATGTTAAGCAATCTGCAGACAGAATTGTTTCAAGTCTGCAGCTGCCTGGGAAATTTTTACACAGTTGAGCCGGGCCTTCAGCCAAAGCTGTTGAGCCACTTTCTTCGTGGCGGCGATGCTAGAGGGGCCAAACTTGGTGCACGCAAGGGCTGGGCCGATTCATGGGACCTACTGAAGCATTCACTTCAGCTTTAGCTTGGGAATTCACTTGACTGAATTTTTATTAGCTCTACTAGTTTCTAAACGATCCCTGGCTCTTCTCAGTATATATAACATTATCATATCACCCATGAATGTGATACACTTGTCTCCTTCAAATATTTACTCTTAAATTAGTGGCAAGATCCAGAGAACTGCTTCTCAAACTACCTATAGGGAAGAACCAGTTTTTCCTACTTCCAAGTCATCACATACTGACACTTTACTAAAATGCTAACAAAAATTAATGAGAAATAAGCTAATTTTTAAAACCAGTAAAAATAACTAGAAAAATGAAATTAAAAGTCTTACTATAAGCCCAAGATATAAAACACAAGCCCAAATGTTTGATTTCTAGGTCTAAAAAAAGATAAAATTACTCTATCCAACTACTATAAAAGTTTCTAAACACTTCCTCTCAATTTCTATACTTACCTCTTGACAGACCAGTAACAAGCAAATCATGGACTGGCACCAATCTACAGATCACACTAAATAACAATGCTGAATTAAAGTCGTATTAAATACTAATGGTGACAAGTTTAAAAGGTATTTTCCTTTTGAATTTAATATTAGTTAATAATTAAGTATAGTCTATCATGATATGAAAGTATTTTCATTTTCAAATAATTTGATTAGAAATGAACACTAAATTAGCTCAAACTATGTTATAGCATCATTTTCCCCAATTAAACCTGATAAAGGATAGCAATAATTTTTTTTTTTTTAGACAGGTTCTTGCTATGTTGCCCAGGATGGACTCAAACTCTGGGCTAAAGCGCTTAATCCTCCCACCTCAGCCTCCCAAGTCACAAAATTTCTTTATATTGAAACATGTTCACATTTCTTACACAGTAGTGGTAGATCAGACGTTTAAATGTTTGCTAGCATATTCTTTAACATTTTCACACATATATGGTCACAACTAAGATTAATCAGTATTTTAGAATGCCCTCATTTTCTTGTTTCATAACGTTGTTCTGTATTTATTTAAGCAACTTCAATTTTCTTTAAAAATGTAAAAGATTTATCAGCAAATCTATTAGTTCCAAAAATCTTTTTGATAGCTGGTACTAACATAACTTTCTCAATTTCCTCCTCAGTAATCCTAGTCTACCTCTATGAAATACTCATAGTTTTGTAGAAAGTCTATTTCATTGAGATTTTTTTCGCAACTCTATTTACTAGGAATATATCTATTTTTTCTCTATTTCTTGAATTTAACAACTGTATTATATTTTATAACTTGTTTTTCTCTTTACCACGTTTCCTCTATTTGCAGTTTTTCTTTTTTTGTGTGTGTGAGACAGGCTTTTGCTCTGTTAACCAGGCCAGAATACAGTGGCACAATCTCAGCTCACTGCAACCTCTGCCTCCAGGCTCAAGTGATCCTGTCATCCTCAGTATCCTGAGTAGCTGGGACTACTGGCAGGCACTCAGTTAATTTTTTAAAAATTTTTGTAGAGACAGGGGTCTCACTATGTTGCCCAGGCTGGTCTGGACCTCCTAGACTCAAGCGATTCCCCTGTCTTGGCCTCCCAAAGTGCTGGGATTACAAGTTTTTGAGTCTTTATGTAAAATCTTTGGTTAAATAATTCATTCAATTTGCTTTATTTATTTAAATAAAAACATGAGAAAGTGGCATTATATTGACAGCAACTTTAGACATATAATGTATTTTCATTATTTTGTAAGTATTCCACTACTGGACTCTTCTTCCTTGATCAACTCAAATGTTTCTAAGAGAATATAGGTATCTTTTAATTCCCGGGTGGTACAGAATCCATAAAAAGAAGATGTATTACAATTTACAAATATTTTCGCAAACATTTTCCAGCAAGACTTTTGTCTTTGAAGAGACATTTCTAATATTTAAAATTCATTAACAAAATGTTCATATAGTAAGTTTAAGAAAAAAGATACCCACTATCCACTACATAATATCAGTTATACAAATACATGCAAAGAAAAAAATGTGGAGAGAAATATTCTAGAATATTAATGCTACATTTATGGAATAGCAGACTTTTGACATTCCAAAATACCTCAATCCCTTCTACACTGAATAAATTAATCAGATCTATAACATCAAATTGCTACTGGAAACATGCTTTTCACCTTTCTGATACTTGAAAATAAAAGGAATATGAGAATGATTAATTTTACATTTTTTCTTTAGAGGGCACTCCTTTCTATAGGGGACAGGTTAGTGAGCCAACAAAAGGTTTTAAAGCAGAATTCCAATCATCTTGTGACTCACTAAAGCAAAAATCACTGGTCCCGAGTCATCTCTTAGCCTCTCTGACCATGGTTTGAGCCTGTATCCCATAGTTCACTCCTCTCTAATAGTGACAGATGTATCCATTAGTCTTTCTGTCCATCCTCTGACCTCCACAGATCACTTACTCTCTAGTTCCTCTACTGCAATAATTTTTTAACTTCACGGAGACAACTATCCTATCACATTTATACTTTTCTTTATTCCTTTCTTATCTGTATTTCCTTCTTTGCCCCTCTGAGAGTTCAGAGCCATCCTTATAATCACTGCCTTGCAAACACCCTTAACTTTCTTGCGTTTTTCTCCCATTATCCTATTTGCTCAGCAAAAGCTAACACTGATGGAACCGTCTCCTTGCATGAATCCAATCAGCAGCACGTTGCTGGAGAAATCACACTCCCAAACTGACTGGCTTTTCTTTAAATTGATGTCACTAAACCTGAAGGGCACTCAATATTGCCTGGAAATCCTACTACATTTTCCTGGTGAGTTGAGATTTCATACCTTCCCTCCTCAGAACTATTGAACGCTCCTAATTTTCAACTGATGACCTTCAATAATTGTAGAGCAGGAGAGAGGAACTCCCTTGTCTTCAACCACCAGATCTACAATCCCCATTACCAGATTTCTATCTTATGACTTGAAAATAAAAAAAAGTCACTCTGCCTCTCAAAGGCCTTCCTATCTCATTCAAATTTTTTTCAGTGATTTCCTTCCTATGTGATTCTCCCACTTTCCTTCACCCATTTTTCTCTCATTACTGAATCATTCCTCTCCTATGCAAACATATTCTTATAATTTCCCATTATAAACTGAATTTTTAAAACAACCTCTGTTCAACCTTTTTTAACTTTCTGCATTATGTATTTTCTTGATACATTTCAATCATCAAATATTCTTTGTGTTATACCTTTTAAATCAATATAAAAAGGCCAACAAATCTCTAAATATTTTTGACAGATGTGGGGAGGGACAACATATAAGCATTCTGACAAATACAAACAAATTTTGAGGGAGAAAAAAAGTTTGAGATACATCTTTGGGATTTATCAGTATACAGATGTATTTAAAGTCCTGGATCTGGATGAGACCGCGAACATTCCAGCGTTTCAAGCAGAGGTTGAAAACTAAATGTGTATAGGGGTATGGGGGTAAGACAAATGAAGTAATCCAACCTGGAATTGGAGAGTAATGGGATTTGTGGCTAACTATGCATGTTCACTTTAAAGTATTCTATTTCAAAAGTGTTAAAACATTATGCCAAAAAAAATGGTTTTTGAAAACCACATTTGAGTCATACTTGGGTCCACAGCTTACAAATTCTGATTCTAAGGTTTAACAAAGGAAGATAAAGCAGCAAAGGATACTGAGAGAGAACAGCCAGATGAGTAGAAAAAAAACCAGAAGAACCCAAGAAAGGAAATAATTTAAAGAAGTTATGTAATGATTAATAATAGTGTCAAATGCTATTTATCGTACCTAAGAGGAGGACAGAAAAGTATTCACTGTATTCAGCTACATAAATATTGCTGGTGATACTTCCTTTCAAAGAATTGGGGTCAGAACACAAAGTAGATCAAGTAGAAGAATAGGCAGATCCTAGCCAGTGTAATAAAGCAAAAAAAAAACAAAAAAAAAAAAAAACGGAAAAAAAGAAATGACATATCTATTTAAAAGTAAAAAACAAAGCATAGTTAATATAACTCTGCATATAAAGTCCTAAAGGAAATATTTTTTTAAAAAAGCTACTAAAACTAGTAAGTGAGATTAGCAAGGTAATAGGACACAAGGTCAATATAAAAAGTCAATTATATTTCTATACACTTATAATGAATAATAGGAAATAGAAATTTCTAAAAATACCAGTAAGTCTAACAAAACGTGTAAGATTGGCACACTGAAGACAGCAAAACATTGATGAAGACATTAAAGAGAAATAATAAACTAAGAGAACTGTCATGTTTATGGATTAGAAAACTCAATATTGTTAAGATGTCAAAATTATTTTCAAATTGATTTATAGACTCAATGAAATCTTAATAAAAAATTCCAGCAGGCTTTTAAAATATAAATTGGGCGAGCTAATTCTAAAATTTATATAGAAATTCCAAGAATCTGAAATAATCAATTTTTAAAAAGAGGAACAAAGTGGGAAAAATCACACAACCTGATTTTAAGACAGTACAGTTATTAAGAGTGTAATATTGGCATGAGGATACATATGTAAATCAATGGAATAGTGTGCAGAAATAGACCCACATATACAAGGTCAATTAATTTTTTTACAAAGATGTCATGAAATCCACTGGAAAAAAAGATAGCAAATGGTGCTAGAATAACAATTACATATTCATATGTAAGAAAATACAGCTTGGATGCTTCCTTCACACCATATACAAAAACCAACTCAAAATGGATCTTAGACATAAATGTAAAACGTAAAACTACAAAACTTCTGAAAAAGCGGTTCTCAGTTGGGAGAGATTTTGACACGCCTCTCCCTTCAACCATGGAACATTTGGCAATGTCAGAAAGCATTCCGGATGGTTACAAATTGGGGGACTATTACTGGTATCTAGTGGGAAGAGGCCAGGAATGCTGTTAAACATTTTAGGACACACAGGACAGACCCCCACTATGAAGAATTATTCAACCCAAAATGTCAATAGTGCCAAGGCTGAGAAACCCTGGTCTAGAAGAAAACATAGAAGAAAAATCTCAGTGACATAGGATTAGGCCAAGATTTCTCAGATAGTACACAAGAAATATAAACCAAAAAAGGAAAAAAAATCAATAAACAAGTTTCATCAAAATTAAAACTTCTGCCTTTCAAAGACAGGAGAATACAAAAACATGCCACAGACTGTCTCTGCAAAAGAAACAACTGATAAAGGACTTGCATCTAGAGCTATGAAGAACTCCCAAAGCTCAAAAAATGAAACAAACCAGCCACAAAAAATCAGGCAGAGATTTTAACAGATCTCTCACTGAAGAAGAAACATGGAGGGCAAATAAGCACACAAAAAGATGCTATATATCATTAGTCATTAGAGAAATGAATGTTAAAATCACAGTGAGACACCAATAATACATCTCCTAGGGTGTCTAAAATTAAAAAAAAAAAAGAAAAAAAGAAAAAACTGATGATACCAACAGCTGCCAAGAATGCAGGGCAATCAGAACTCTCATATACTACTGGGATACAAAATGGTACAGCCACTTTGGAAAAACAGTTTGGTACTTTCTTATAAAGTTAAACATACAATTACCTTATCACTCAACAAACCCATTCCTAGGGTTTTGTTTTTTGTTTTTTGTTTTTGAGACAGAGTCTCATTCTGTCACCCAGGCCAGAGTGCACTGGCGCCATCCTGACTCACTGCAACCTCTGCCTCCCAGGTTCAAGCGATTCTCCTGCCTCAGCCTCCCGAGTAGCTGGGATTACAGACATGTGCCACCACACCTGGCTAATTTTTATATTTTTAGTAGAGACGGGGTTTCTACTACACCATATTGGCCAGGCTGGTCTCAAACTCCTGACCTCAAGTGATCCACCCACTTCGGCCTCCCAAAGTGCTGGGATTACAGGCGTGAGCCACCACGTCCAGCCATTCCTAGGTATTTGCCAAGAGAAATGAAGCAGTATGTCTACCGAAAAACCTACACACAAATGGAATACTACTCAGTAATAAAAATTAAAGTGGACAAATTATTGATACATGCAACAACATGGATAAATCTCAAAAGCTAAGCCAAGTGAAAGAAGTCAAATTCAAAAGTCTACACACCGTATTATTCTGAAAAGGTAAAACTAAAGAGAAAGAAATTGGATAAGTAGTTGCCAGGGACTAGGAGTTGGGGAAGTGACTGACTACAAAGGGGCACACAGGAACTTTTTGTGACGTTCCTTTTTGTGAAGGCAGTGCTGTCTATCTCAAATGTGGTGGTGACTGCATGACTGTATACGTATGTCAAAGCTCACTTGACAAACTGTACACCTAAGAGAGTAAATTTTGATATGTTTAACCTATACCTACAATAAACCTGACTTTTTAAAAATGAGCATAGGATATCAGGAAACAGAAACAGAAAATGTATAGACAACTCTTGAAAATTTCACTGTAACAGGGAGCAGAATATTGACCGAAGCAGTAGCCGGAAGGGAAGAGAGGACGAGACATTTGTAGTAAAGTAGCTGGTGATGACAAAGTCTAGATAGACTGTGATCATGGGATGAGTAACTACATACAGGTAGGAGAAGACTGGAAGGAGGTACGGAAGTAAAGATCACTGGAGATTAGATGAAATATATGAGAACTTCAGGCACTGAATGGGAAATGTATGCTGAAGTGAAAGAAACCAATAAAAGAGAGGAAGACAATGTAGCAAGAGCTAGTTTTCCATGAATAAATAAAGGTAACTCAGATGACAGTAACAAAGATGAACGACGAAAGAATAAGAAGGAAGTGAACTAGAAAGCGGCATAATATTCCAGCTATTCTGACGAACCCAGGCGTAAAGGATGAAATGAAGTGCTTTAGGGTCCATCATGGTTCGTATTGTGTGAAACAGGAAAAAAAGGAAGACATCAATTTTTGGACTGTGCTCTACCAAAAATATGCCCTCAGAGAATATTATTTAGAAATATGACCCGGTATTAGTTTCCTAGGGCTGCTATAACAAAGTGACACAAACTAAGTGGCTTAAAACAACAGAAATTTATTATCTCGCAGTTCTGGAGGCCAGAAGTCTGAAATCAAGGTGTTGGCAGGGTCATGCTCCCTCTGAAGCCCCTAGGGGAGGGTCCTTCCTTGCTACTTCTACCTTCTGGAAGCCCCAGGCATTCCCTGGATGTGGCAGCATAATTCCAATTTCTGCCTCCATCTTCACACGGCCATCTTCTCCTTGTATGTTTTTCTCCTCACATGGTGCTTTCCTCTTTCATAAGGACACCAGTTAGATTGGATTAAGAGCAAACCCTACTCCAGTGTGAGCTTAAATAATTACACCTGCAATCACCAATAAGGTCACATTCTGAGGTATTGGGGATTAGGACTGCAACATATAATTTGGGAGGGCACAATTCGACCCAAAACAATCCTCTTCCATTTAATGGCCCCAGGTACTATGTTTTTTATGGTCAGGGATTGTCTTAACTACTTTGCCTCAGTGATAGTGTATCTCCCTTCCTCCATATCTTGCATCTAACAGGTAATCACTGCAATTTAAAGAAAACTGAAGGTAATAGGAGAAATCTGATACTCAAGTTATTAATCAACCTTAAATATTTAACCATTATTAGTAACACTAATAACATTTTTCCTCCAATAACTCTACATGAGCTTTTTTCCTATCTGCTCATGATCGTTTCATTTCTTCAAAGTTTATAACTATGTTCTAGAAAAGTGGTTCTCAAAGTGTAGTCCAAAAATCCCTGAGGGTCACTGACACCCTTTCAGGGACTGAATGACAGCCTCCTTTCCCTAACTCCTTTTTCATCTATGTAAGGCAAGATTGTCTTCATATACTTCAACCAAAACAATACATCCCAACAAATGAAATGCAGAGCAGACTGAGAATCCAGCTATGATAGGTAATTTATGTATCAAAATGACTGGATCATGGAGTGTCCAGATACTTGGTTAAACACAATTTTGGATACGTCTGTGAGGTGTGTGTATGTGTGTGGTATTTTTTGTTTTGTTTTCTTGGGTTTTTTTGCTTTTTTTTGAGACAAGTCTTGCTCCATCGCCCAGGATGGAGTGCAGTGGCGCAACCTCAGCTCACTGCAACCTCCACCTCCTGGGTTCAAGCGATTCTCTTGCCTCAGCCTCCCAAGTAGCTGCAATTACAGGTGTGCACCACCACGCCTGGCTAATTTTTGTATTTTTAGTAGAGACAGTGTTTCACTATGTTGGCCAGGCTGGTCTTGAACTCCTGACCTCAGGTGATCCACCCACCTCAGCCTCCCAAAGTGCTGGGATTACAGGCGTTAGCCACTGTTCCTGGCCTGTGAGGTGTGTATGAATGAGATTAACATTTGAATCTGGAAACTAAGTAAAGCAGGTTACCCTCTCCAATGTGGGTAGGCCTGATCCAGTACCTTGAAGGCCTAAATACAACAAAAGGCTGAGCAAGAGAGAATGTGTTCTCTCTGCCTGATGGTCTTCCAGCTGGAGGGTATTCTACCTGCAGATTCAGATCAAAACTTACATCACTGGTGCTCCTGGTTCTCAAGCCTTTGGACTTGAATTGGAACTATACCATCAGCCCTCCTGGGGCTCCAGCTTGCAGATCTTGGGACTTCTCAGTCTTCATGATCACATAAGCCAATTCTATATAATAAATATCAATAAAGATATATATATACACATACACACAGATGTGTATAAATAGATAGATGTATCTATCTCCAACCTATTGGTTCTGTTTCTCTGGAGAACCCTGAATAATATACCAACTGAGTTCTAGTAAGCCGGAATTTAAACAATGCTATTCTTCCAACTAATTTTTTTGTTTTGGAAAACAGTCATTTTTTACTTTAAAATATACTATTTATGGTAATATGTAATAGGTTTGTTCTTTCAAAATAAATTTTAAAATAGTTTTAAATGTTTTAATTTCTTGTATGCTAAATATCTATATAGATAATCCACATAAACAAAAGCTCTTAAGAATACTTGTGAAGAATATAAAGAGTCCTGAGGACAGGCACAGTGGCTCATGCCTGTAATCTCATAGTTTTAGGAGGCCGAGGCAAGAGGATCACTTAAGGCCAGGAATGAGAGACCAGCCCAGTAAACACAGAGACTCCCATCTCTATAAAAAATTTTTAAACTAAAAATAAAAATAAGAGTCCTGAGACCCGCCTTCAAAAAAAGTGAACTGCTCTTCTACATATACATAAAGTTTACAACAATCTATTAGAAAAATAGAATATTTGGCCAAGAGTGGTGGCTCACTCCTGTAATCCTAGCACTTTGGGAGGCCAAGGCGAAGGATCATTTGAGGCCAAGAGCTCAAGACCAGCCTGGGCAACAAAGCGAGACTCCATCTATAAAAAATTTTTTAAAAATAATTAGGTGGGTTTGATGGTATATGTCTGTAGTCCCAGCTACTCAAGAGGCTCAGGCAGGAGGATCACTTGATCCTAGAAGTTGGAGGGTGCAGTAAGCTATGATCATGCCACTGCCCTCCAGCCTGGGTGACAGAGTGAGACCCTGTCTTAAAAAAAAAAAAAAAAAAAAAAAAAAGACAAGAAAACATAATATTAATGAATATTAATTTATTTTTCCATTCTTCATAGCTAAATCAGAATTTCTTGTGCTGCTTATCAAAAAAAAAAAGTTAGCCAGTTACAGAAGACATACCTGATCATCCCCAGAACCCCGCTGAGCTGTTGTTTCCAAACAGACCACATTAGTATCAGAAATTTGTGTTCTACTATTGCCTTGATATACTATCTGTTGCCATACATGACAGGTCAATGGAACAATCTGAAAATCAAAAGCAGGCTTAAATAGAGTAATAACACAATCACTATGATTATACAACAAAAATAAACTAATATTTAGACCATACTTCCCAGTTTATAAAGCCCTTTCACATATACGACATTTTGATTTCACAACCATTATACAAGCTATTATCCTTAAGGTTACTCAGTTAGGACACAGCATACTTTTGCATAAACCACAGCAGTTCCTTAACCTCCTTTACCCATAGAGGTAAAAGCAGCAAACAGAAACAAGCAAGTTGTCTATTTTTAAATCTTACTGGTTGAGACAGTTAAAAATCAACCCCAATAATAGGGACTGAAATCAACTCATAGCACAAGAAGTGGGAACAAAAGTCAGAATCATTTTGTGAAGTAAGGGGTTGGAGCAGCGCTCTCCTACTAGTGAAAGAAGGCAATAAACGTTGTGACCATAGCCAAAGGCTGAAGGAACACAAATGGACAGATTACAGGCAATAAAACAAAAATGACCTGGTCAAGCCACCCACTGGTTCAGGGACTGGTTCTTGAGATTTTTCCCAATAACCCTGAAGAATAAGAACCCAGAGCTTCCAATATAAGATTTCCTTCTAAAGAAGATGCCATAAAGGACAAAGCAGAAACAACCACAAAAAGAGCAGGTAGAGAAGAATGCACACAAAGAGAAAAAAAAAATAACCCTCTTACTAAAAATCCGATTACAAACTATACTTCCAAAGGACTTTAAAATAGTATCTCAGATCCTCGAACAGACAAAGAAAGATACAAGGTGCACAGTGGCTCACACCTGTAATCCCAGCACTTTGGGAGGCCAAGGCAGGAGGATTACCTGAGGTCAGGAGTTCCAGACCAGCCTGGCCAACATAGCAAAACCCCGTCTCTACTAAAAATACAAGAATTAGCTGGGCATGATGGCATGCACCTGTAAAAGGGAAAATTAAAACATTCACAAAAGCTGAGAGAGTTCATTACCACTAGACCTCACCTGGAAGAAATGCTAATGGCAGTCCTTCAAGCTGAAATTAAAGGATGCTAGATAGTAACTTTAAGCCATAGGAAAATATAAAGTTCTCTGGTAAAGGTAAATATATGGACAAATATAAAAACATTATTTTAATTCTGGTGAGTAACTCCACCTTAATTCTTTTATAGGATTTAAAAGACAAAAGCATAAAAATTAACTATAAATCTACATGCTATGATTTGAGTATCTGTCCCCTCTAAAACTCATGTTAAAACTTAATCCGCAATGTGGCAGTACTGAGAGGTAGAACCTTTCAGAGGTGACTGGGTCATCAGGGATCTGGGCTCTCATGAATGAATTAATCATGAGGGCAGATCTGAACGGCTTAATGACTTGATGGATTAATGGATTAATGGCTTATCATGAGAGTGGACTGGTAGCTTTATAAGAAGAGGAAGAGAGACCTGAGCTAGCATGCCCAACCCCCTCACCATGTGCCCTGCACCACCTCAGGATTCTGCAGAGTCCCCATCAGCAAGAAGGCCCTCATCAGGCCCTCACCCTTGACCTTGGATTTCTCAGCCTCCATAACTTTTTAAAATAAACTACCCAGTTTCAAGTATTGTTATAAGCAAGAGAAAACAAACTAAGAAAGTATGTTAATGGTTAAACAATATATAAACATGTTACTTGTGACACCAGTAAAATGTTGTTAACAGGGTACTAATAACTTTGGCCAGGTGCGGTGGCTCATGCCTGTAATCCAGCACTTTGGGAGGCAAGGCAAGTGGATCACTTGAGGTCAGGAGTTTGAGACCAGCCTGGCCAACAATGGCGAAACCCCATCTCTGCTAAAAATGTAAACATTAGTCAGGCATGGTGGCCTGTGCCTGTAGTCCCAGCTACTTGGGAGACTAAGACAGGAGAACCACTTGAACCCGGGAGGTGGAGGTTGGGGGGCAAAGCTATAAAGGACTAGAGTTTTTATATGTGATTGAAGTGAAGTTGTTACTAGTTTAAACAGGTTGTTATCCTCCTAAGGAGTTTTATGATATTCTCATGGTAACTACAATGAAAATAGCTACAGAATATACACAAAAGGAAATAAGAGAATCAAAATATATCCCTACCAAAAAAATTGACTAAACACAAAGAAAGAAGGGGAGGAAATGAAAAACAAGCTATGAAAGGACAAAGAAATTACCAAAAAAAAAAAAAAAAACCCATAGGATTAAAAAACAGGACCCAACTATATGCTGTTTAAAAGACACTTTGGAACTAAGGACACACACAGGCTCTAAGTAAAAAGATTCAAAAAGATATTCCATGCAAATGGTAACCAAAAGAGAGCAATAGCGGCAACACTAATATCAGAGAAAATACATTTTTAAACAAAACTGATACCATAGACAAAGGAGAACACTATGGGGTCAATGCACAAATAAGATATAATAATTATATATGTGTCAGACATTGGAGCTCCTAAATACTTAAAGCAAACATTGATAAAATTGAAGGGAGCTCTCCAAAAACAGTGAGAGACTTCAATAACCAACTTTCCATGATGGATAGAATGAGATCAATAAGGAAAGAAAAGACCTGAACAGCACTACAGACCAATTGGACCTAACATACATATACAGAACACTCCACCCAACAACAGCACAATATACATTCTTCTCAAGTGCACGTGAAACATTCCCCAGGATACACCACATGTTGGCCACAAAGTATTAGGTATCTTTTCTGATCACAACAGAATGAAACTAGAAGGTAGCTGCAGAAAGAAAAGTGGAAAATCAAGAAATTTATAGAAATTAAACAACAAACTCTTAAAAAGACAATGGGTCACGACAGAAGTAACAAAGGAAATAATACATTAAGACAAAAATTAAAGCACAAAATACCAAAGCTTATTGAATGTAGCAAAAGTAGGACTAAGAAGGTAATCTACAGTCGTAAATGCCTATATTTAAAAAAAAAAATTCATGTCAATAATCTAACATTACACCTTGAAGAACTAGAAAAAGAAACTAAACCCAAAGTGATCAGAAGGAAAAAATAAGATTAGAGCAAAGATAAAGAAAAGAGAATAGAAAAACAGTAGGAAAAAAATCAAGAAAACCAATAGTTATTTGAAAATATAAACAAAACTGACAAACCTTTAGCTAGACTGACTGAGAAAAAAAAAGGCCTCAAATAACTAAATTCAGAAATGAAAGAGGGGACATGACAACCAATGCCATAGAAATAAAAAGGATCATAGGAGAATACTATGAACAACTGTACTCCAACTAATTGGACAGCCTAGAAGAAACAGATCAATTCCTAGAAACACACAGCCTACCAAGACTGAGTAACATGAAAAAATAAGAAAATCTCAACAGACCAACAACAAGGAAATTGAATCAATAATCCAAAACCTCCCACAAAAGAAAAGCCCATGGCCAGGCGCAGTGGCTCACACCTGTAATCCCAGTACTTTGGGAGGCCAAGGCAGGAGAAATGCTTGAGCTCAGGAGTTAGAGACCAGCCTGGGCAACATGGTGAGATCCTGTCTCTACTAAAAATACAACGAAAATAGCTGGACATGGTGGTGCTTGCCTGTGGTAACAGTTACTTGGGAGGCTGAGGTAGGAGGACTGCTTGAGCCTGGAGGGCAGAGGTTGCAGTGAGCTGAGATTGCACCACTGCACTCCAGCCTGGGTGACAAAGTAAGACCCTGTCTCAAAAAAAAAAAAAAAAAAAAAAAAAAAAAAGGTCCAGGACAAGAAAGCTTCACTGGAGAATTCTACCATACATTTAAAGAAGAATTAACACCAATCCTCCTGAAACAATCCCAAAAAATTGCACAGGAGGGAACATTCCAAATCATTCTATGAGGCCAGCATTATCCTGATACCAAAGTCAGACAAAGACATTAGAAGACTATAAACCAGTATCCCCGACGACTATTGATGTAAAAATCCTCAACAAAATATTACCAATAAGAATTCAGCAGTACGTTAAAAGGATTACACACCATGACCAAGTGGAATTCGTGGAATACAAGGATGGTTCAACATACAAAAATTGATCAATGTAATACACCACATTAATGGAAGGACAAAAACCACATGATCATCTCAAATGAAACCGAAATAGCACTTCACAAAATTCAACACCCTTTCATTATTTAAAAAAAAAAAAAGTCAACAGACTATAAACAGAAGAAAACTACCTCAACATAATAAAAGCTGTATGTCCCACAGCTCATATCATACTCAATGGTGAAAAACTGAAAACATTTCCTCTAAGATCAGAAGCAAGACAAAGATGCTTGCTCTCACCCTTCTACTCAACATAGCACTGGAAATCCTACTAAAGCGATTAGGCAAGAAAAAGAAATATAAATTGAAAGGAAAAAGTCCTATATACTGAAAACCCCCAAAGACTAAAATCGACACTGTTAGAATGAATAGGCCAGGCACAGTGGCTCACACCTGTAATCCCAGCACTTTGGGAGGCCAAGGCGGGTGGATCACTTGAGGTCAGGAGTTTGAGACCACCCTGACCAGCAATGGTGAAACCCCATCTCTGCTAAAAATGTAAACATTAGCCAGGTGTGGCAGCGCGCCTGTAGTCCTAGCTATTTGCGAAGCTGAGGCAGGAGAATCACTTGAACCCAGGAGGTGGAGGTTGCAGTGAGCAGGGATCGAGCCACTGCACTCCACCCTGGGCAACAGAGTGAGACTCTGTCTCAAAAAGAAAAAAGAATAAACCCAGTAAAGCCGCAGGATACAAAATCAATATATGAAAATCAGTTGCACTTCTGTACACAAATAACTACTTATATGAAAAAGAAATCAAGAAAACCATCCCACTTATGATAGCATCAAAAAACAAAATAAAAAGACTTAGAAATAAATGTAACCAAGAAGGCAAAAGATCTGTCTACTGAAAACTACAATACTAATGAAAGAAATTAAGGACACAAATAAATAGAAAGATATTCCATGTTCACAGACTGAAATAATTAATATTGTTAAAATGTATGTACTATCCAAAGCAATACAAAGTCAACACAATCCTTATGAAAATGCCAATGGCATTTTTCACAAAAATAGAAAAAAAAATCTAAAATTCATATAGAACCACAAAAGACTCTAAAGAGCCAAAGTAATTCTGTAAGACAAAAACAAAGTTGGAGGAAGCACACTTCCTGGTTTCAAATTATATTACAAAGTTATAGTAACCCAAACAGTGTGGTACTGGCATAAAAAGTAGACATGTAAACCAATGGAACAGAATAGAGAGAGAAAAATAAACCCAAGCATATATGATTCGCTAATTTTTGACAAGGGCACCAAGAAGACACAATAGGGAATAGAAGATCTCTTCAAATAATGGTGCTGAGAAAATTAAATTTCCTCATGCAAAAGAATGAAATTGGACCTTTATCTTACACCACCAGCAAAAATCAACTCAAAGTTGATTAAAGAACTCAACATGAAGACTTAAAACCATAAACCTAGAAGAAAATATATGGGAAAAACTCCTTGACACTTGTCTTGGCAATGTTGTTTTGGATATCACAACAAAAGCTCAGGCTACAAAAGCAAAAATAAATAAATAGAACTAAATCAAGCTAAAGAGTTTCACATCTAAGTAAACAATCAACAAAATGAGAAGACAGTCTACTACAGATGAGAAAATATCTGCAAACCATATATCTGATAAGGAGTCAGTTTCCACAATATATAAAGAACTTGTGCAACTCAGTAGAAGAAAAACAAACAACCTAATTTTAGAATGGGCAACGGACCTGAACAAACATTTCTCCAAAACAGAAAAAAAGAAAAGAAAAATGGCCAATCAGCATATGAAAAGATATTCAATATTACTATCATCAGGGAAATGCAAATTAAAACCAAAATGAAATATCATCTCACACTTGTTAGGATGGCTATTATTTAAAAAACAAAAAGATTCAAGAGATAAGTGTTGGCAAGGGTGTGGAAAAAAGAGAACCCTTGTACACTGCTGGTGGCAATGTAAACCAGTGCAGCAATTGCGGAAAACAGTATAAAGTTTTCTAAAGTAATTAAAAATAGAACTACGACTGGGCGCGGTGGCTCGTGCCTGTAATCCAAACACGGTGGGAGGATCACTGAGGTTAGGAGTTTGAGACCAGCTTGGCCAACATGACGAAACCCCGCCTCTATTAAAAATACAAAAATTAACCAGGCAGGGTAGTGCACACCTGTAACCCCAGCTACTCAGGAGGCTGAGACACAAGAATCGCTTGAACTCGGGAGGCGGAGGTTGCAGTGAGTTGAGAACACACCGCTGTACTCCAGCCTGAGCAACAGAGCGAGATTCTGTCTTAAAAAAAAAAAAAAAAAAAAAGAGAGAGAGAAAGAAAGAAAAGAAAGAAAAGGACTACTTTTCTTGTATGACCTAGCAATTCCATTTCTGGGTAAAAACCTAAAGAAAATGAAACCACCACCTCATACAGATACCTGCACTCCCATGTTCACTGCAGCATTATCACAATAGCCACGAACACAACTACAGCATCCATTGATGAATGAATAAACTACAAGACACACACACATACACTCACACTCACACACACACACACATAACACACACACACATACACACGAGGAGGGGAAGGGGGAGGAATATTATTCAACCTTAAAAAGGAAGGTGATCCTGCCATTTGTCACATGAATAAACCTGGAAGATAGAAAAATACTGCATGATCTCACTTACATATGAAATCTATTTTTTAAAGTCAAGTACAAAGAAGTAGAAGTGAGGAACAGGGGAGGAAATGGGGAGATGCAGGTCAGAGGATTCAAAGTTGCAGGTATGATGGATCAGCAAGTTTAGCAATTCAACGTAAAATATAAGTACTATAGTTAATAATATTGTATTATATTTAGGATTCTTGCTAAAAGGATTTTAGAAGCTCTTGCCACAAAAAAAAAAAGGCAGTAACTATGTGAGATCACGAATATGTTAATTTGCTTGACTATGGCAACCATTTCACTAGGTATATGTATATCAAAACATCATGATGTATAAATATATACAATAAAGGAAAAAATAAACTAGAAATCAATAACAGAAAAATAGCTGGAAAATCCCAACATACTTAAGAGGTTAAACAGTGTATTTCTAAATAGCATGTGGGTCAAATAAAAACTCTCAAAAGAAATTTAAAAATATTTCAACTAAATGAAAGTAAGAATACAACTTATCAAAATTTGTGATGCAGCAAAAGTAGTGCTTACTGGGAAATTTATAACACCGAATGTATATATTAGGAAAAAAATCTGAAATCAATTATCAAAGCTTCCAACTTAGGAAACTAGAAAAAGAAGAATAAATCATATTTAAAGTGAGGAGAAGAAAATAAATAAAAAGTAGAGCAGAAATCAATGAAATTGAGAATAGCAAATAAAGAGAGAAAATCAGTAAAAGCTTAAATGCTGGTTCTTTTGAAAAGATCAATAAAATCAATAAACCTCTGGCCAGGCTAATAAAATAAGATAAAGGATGCAAATTATGAACATCAAAAATGAGGCCAGGTATGGTAGCTCACTCTTGTTATCCCAGCACTTTGGAAGGCCAGGGTGGGCAGATCACTTGAGGCCAGGAGTTTGAGACCAGCCTGGCCAAAGTGGCGAAACCCTAAATCTACTAAAAATGCAAAAATTAGCCGGGCATAGTGGCACACACCTATAATCCCAGCTACTCAGGTGGCTGAGGCACAAGAATCGCTTGAACCCAGGAGGCAGAGGTTGCAGTGAGGGAGACTGCGCCATTGCACTCCTGCCTCGGTGACACAGCAAGACTCTGTCTCAAAAAAAAGAAAAAAGAAAGAGAGGACATCACAACAGATCTCATGGACATTAAAAGGATAATAAAGGAACACTATAAACAACTCTATGCCCACAAATTTGATAGCCTAGATAAAATGAACGATTTCTTAAAAAAGATAATCTGTCAAATCTGACACAAAAATAGACAAAATGAAGAGGCCTATATCTATTCGAAACACTGAATCATAAATTAATAGCCTTCTAAAACAGAAAGCACCAGACCCAGACAGGTTCACTGGTAATGCTACCAAACCCTGAAGGAGGAAATTGTACCAGTTCTCTAAAATCTCTCAGAAGACAGAATCAGAGAGAATACTTCTTAATCATTCTATGAAGTCTGTATTACCCTACTGCCAATACCAGACAAACATATTACCAAAAAAGAAAACAACAGACCATTATCTCCCATGAATATCAATGTAAAAATTCTCAGCAAAATATTAGCAAATCAAATTTAACAATGTACAAAAGTATTGTACATCATGACAAGTGGGTTTATCCCACGTACGCAAACTTGATTCAACATTCAAAAGTCAGTTAAGGCTGGACACAGTGGCTCCCACCTGTAATTCCAGCACTTTGAGAGGCCAAGGTGAGCAGATCACTTGAGCTCAGGAGTTCGAGACCAGCCTGGGCAACAAAGTGAGACCCCCCTCTGCCACCTCTAAAAAAAATACAAAAATTAGCCTGGTATGGTGGCACATGCCTGTGGTCCCAGTTACTCAGGAGGGTGAAGTAGGAGGACGGCTTGAGCCTTGGAGGCAGAGGTTGCAGTGAGCCAAGATGGCAACACTGCACTCTAGCCTGGGTGACAACGCCAGACCCTGTCTCAAAAAAAAAAAAAAAAAAACAATTAATATAATCCATCATGTTGACAAGCTTTAGAAGAAAAACCACATGATCATATAACAGATGCAGAAAAAACATTTGACAACCTCTTCACGATATTCTCATTAAAATAGGAATAGAGGGGAATATTCTCAACTTGACATAGAGTATCTACAAAAAATCCTACAACTAATATCATACCTAATGAAACTCGAAGCTTTGCCTCTAAGATCAAGAACAAGGCAAGGATTCCCTCTCTGATATGATTTGGATATCTGTCCCTTTCAAATCTCATATTGAAATGTAATCCCCAGTGTTGGAGGTGGGGTCTGGTACAAGGTGACTGGATCATGGGGGCAGATCCTTCATGATTAGTTTAACACCATTCCCTTAGTGATAAGTGAGCGCTCACTCTAAGTTCACACAAGACCTGGTTGTTTAAAAGAGTGGCACCTCCTCCCTTGCTCTCTGGCTTCTGCTCTCGCCATGTGAGACGCCTGCCCCCACTTCACCTTCCACCATGATTGTAAGCTCACCAGAAGCAGATGCTGGCACCAAGCTTCTCATACTCTGCAGAACCATGAGCCAATTAAACTTCTTTTCATTGTAACTTACCCAGCCTCAGGTGTTTCTTCATAGCAACACAATGACGACATAATACACCCTCTCACCACTGTCCAACAGTGTATTGGAGGTCATAGCTAATGCAATAAGACAAGAAAAGGAAATAAAAGGTACACAGTCTGGGAAGGAGGAAATAAAACTCTGTTTGCAGATGACATGACTGTCTGTCTATACAGAAAATCCAGGCCAGGCGCAGTGGCTCACGCCTGTAATCCCAGCACTTTGGGAGGCTGAGAAGGGCAGATCACAAGGTCAGGAGTTTGAGACCAGCCTGGCCAACATAGTGAAACTCCATCTCTACTAAAAATACAAAAAAAACAAAAATTAGCCAGGCATGGTGGCAGGCGCCTGTAATCCCAGCTACTCAGAAGGCTGAGGCAGGAGAATCGCTTGAACCCGGGAGGCAGAGGTTGCAGTAAGCTGAGATCACACCACTGCACTCCAGCCCGGGTGACAGTGCCAGACTCCATCTCAAAAAAAAAGAAAATCCAAAAGAACTGACAAAACTTTCCTGGAATTAATAAGTAAAACTAGCAAAACTGCAGAATATAGGTTAATATATAAAAGTCAATCACTTCCTGTATACCAGCAATCAAGTGGAATTTGAAGTTAAAAGTACAATAATACCATTTACATTAACAACCCAAGAAATAAAATATTTAGGTATAAATCTAACTTAATACATGTAAGATCTATATGAGGAAAACTATAAAACTCGATGAATGAAATCAAAGAACTAAATAAATGAGAAGGTATTTCAACTTCATGAAATACTCAATATTGTCAAGATGTCAGTTCTTCCCAACTTGATCTATTAAGATCAACGCAATCCCAATCAAAATCCCAGCAATTTTTAATACACATCAATGAATTCAATCTAAAGTTTATATGGAGGGGCAAAAGACTCCGAATTGGAGGACTGACACTACCTAACTTCAAGACTTACCATAAAGCTACAGTAATAAAGACAGCATGTATCAACGAAATAGACACATTGATCAATAAAACAGAATTGAAGGCCCAGAAATAGACCCATATAAATGTATTCAATTGATTTTTTGACCAAAAAACGAAGGCAATACAATGGAGAAAGTCTTCTCAACAAATGGTGCTGGAACAACTGGACATTTACATGCAAAACAATGAACCCAGAAACAGATCTGACATCCTTCACACACAAAAATTAATTCAAAGTGCAAAAGTATAAAAAGACCTAAATGCAAAGTGCAAAAGTATAAAACTCCTAGAAGATAACATAGGAGAAAATCTAGATGTCCTTGGGTTTGGTGATGGCTTTTTGGATACAATACTAAAGGCATATAATCTATGAAAGAAATAATTGATAAGCTGGATTTAATTAAAAACTTATTCTGCTTTGTGAAAAACACTGTCAAAAGAATAAAAAGACAAGCTATAGACTGGAAGAAAATATTTGCAAAAGACACATCTCTGATTCAGGATGTTAACAGTGAGGGAGGCTATGGAGAGGGGCAGGGCACAGATGGGAACTCTGTATTGCCCATTCAATGTGGCTGTGAACCTAAAACTGCCCTAAAAGATAAAGTCTGTTTAAAAGCAAAACCGCACGCCTGTAATCCCAGCACTCTGGGAGGCCGAGGCAGGTGGATCACCTGAAGTCAGGAGATCGAGACCAGCCTAACATGGTGAAATCCCATCTCTACTGAATACAAGAAAAATAATTAGCTGAGCGTGGTGGCATATGCCTGTAAACCCAGCTACTCAGGAGGCTGAGGCAGGAGAATCACTTGAATCCGGGAGGCAGAGGTTGCAGTGAGCCAAGATAATGCCATTGCATTCCAGCCTAGGCAACAAGAGCGAAACACCATCTCAAAAACAAAACAAAACAAAAAAACCCCAAAACAGAGGTCTGGTGAAGCATATAAAGAGCTTGGAAGTAATCACTCCCATCCCCATCATAAAAAAAAAAAGCTGAACAAACTAAAAAATCAAAACTCTTCTTATATCCATCAGAGAACTGAGATGAAGGGCAAACTATTGTTCCAAAAATTGGAGAGGTACATACACAGAGAATCACAACTTACCAGAGCAGAATCCCAAGAACAGAAACCACTGTGGGAACTAACTAGTACTAGGGAAGAAAAATCTAGTGTAATTGACAAATTGCTGGAGGTGCAATGCGACAACTTTGAGAATTAAAAGCCGCAGGGAAACCAGTCTTATGAAGGGCCTCCATGCTTCTGTAAGTTTTATCTCCACAACCCCTAGCATGTTACCACAGTTAAGATGAGAGAAAAATACCTACCCCCCAGTTAGGGGGAGGGGGTTGGGGATAACCATTTTGAATATTCCCAGAGTATTTTGTTCTTCTTAGAAAACTTGCCCTCAAACTATTTTACCAGAGCCTAACCAGGCTGGGCGCGGTAGCTCAAGCCTGTAATCCTAGCACTTTGGGAGGCCGAGGAGGGTGGATCACGAGGTCAGGAGATCGAGACCATCCCGTCTAACACGGTTAAACCCCGTCTCTACTAAAAATACAAAAAATTAGCCAGGCGTGGTGGCAGGCGCCTGTAGTCCCAGCTACTTGGGAGGCTGAGGCAGAAGAATGGCATGAACCTGGGAGGCGGAGCTTGCAGTGAGCTGAGATCGCGCCACTGCACCCCCAGCCTGTGCGACAGAGCAAGACTCCGTCTCAAAAAAAAAAAAAAAGAATGGACAATCTGAATAGACCCATAAGAAGAAAAAAGAGTGATTTAGTAATTAAAATACTATGCCCCATCCTGCAAAAAAAAAAAAAAAAAAAAAGAGCTCAGACCCATTTGATGTAACCTATCGAACTTTCAAAGAATTAATGCCAGTCCTTCACAAACTCTTCCAAAACCAATAGGAATACTTTCAATTCACTTTATGAGGTCAATATTACCCTGATACCAAACCAGACAAAAGCATCAAAAGAAAACTACAGACCAATATATCTTACAAATATAGATGGAATAACTCTAAACAAAATACAAGCGTGTGTGTGTGTGTGTGTGTGTGTGTGTGTGTGTGTATTTCTATGACAGGCAACACATAAAATGTTTATACACTGTGACAAAGTGAGTTATTTTCACAAGGCTGGTTTAATAACCTAATATCAATTAATGTAATACATCGATTAATAATTTGACAAAATTATTATTAAAAACACTTAAGAAATTAGGGATAGAAACTTCATCAATATGATAAGGGCATCTATTAAAAACCCACAACTAACATCATACTCGGGGGTAAAAGACAGGATGCTTTCTCCCTAAGACAAGTTTGTCCAACCCACAGCCGAGGACCATGAATGTGGCCCAACACAAATTCGTAAACCTTCTTAAAACATTATATTTTTGCAATTTTTTTTAGCTCATCAGCTATTGTTAGTGTATTTTATGTGTGGCCCAAGACAATTCTTCCAATGTAGCCCAGAGAAGCCAAAAGATTGGACACCCCTGCCCTAAGATCAGGAATAAAAAAGCATATACACTCTTACCCCTCCTATTGAATATTTTACTAAAGGTTCTAGCCAGGGCAATTAGCCATAAATAAATACATAAAAGGCATCCAGATTGGAAAGAAAAAATAAAGCTATATATATTTGCCCTTGACATGATCTTTACAAGAAAATCATAGAGAACCCACAAATAATCTACTAGGATGAATAAACAAGTTCAGAAGAGATTCAGAAACAATATTAATATATATAAAAATCAAGTGTTTTTAAACATCTACAACGAATAACCCAAACATTCAATTAAGAAAAATAATTCCACTGACAATACCATTAAAAACAGTATTTTGAAGAATTTAAGAAAAAAAGTGCAATTCTGAAAACTATAAAACATTATTGAAATTTAAAGAAGATCTAATTACAGTTGTATGCCACATCAGAACATTTCCATCAACTACAGACCACATACATAATGGTGGTCCTATAAGATTATAATACCGGCCCAGCATGGTGGCTCACACCTCTAATCCCAGCACTTTGGGAGGCCAAGGTGGGCAGATCACTTGAGTCAGGAGTTCGGGACCAGCCTAGGCAACATGACAAAACCCCATCTCTACTAAAAATACAAAAATTAGCCAGGCATGGTGGCACACACCTGTAATCCCAGCTACTCAGGAGGCTGACATGAGAATCACTTGAGCCTGGGAAGCGGTGGTTGCAGTGGGCGGAGATTGTGTCACTGCACTCCAGCCTCGGTGACAGAGCGAGACTCTGTCTCAAAAAAAAAAAAAAAAAAAAATATATATATATATATATACACATATATATATATACACACACATATATATACACATATATATACACATATATATACACATATATATATACACATATATATGTAAAATACCATATTTTTACTATACCTTTTCTAAGTATTTGTGTTAGATACACAAACGTATCCAACACAAATACTTACCACAGTGTTACAACTGCCTACAGTATTCAGTACTGTAACATGCTGTACAGGTTTGTAGCCTAGGAGCAAACAGTTAGACTATATAGCCTAGGTGTGTAGTAGGCTATGCCATCTAGGTTTGTGTACGTACACTATATGATGTTTGCACAACAATGAAATACTGTAATGAAACATTTCTCAGAATGTATCCTCATCATTAATTGACACAACTATAAATGAAAGGATATCCCATGTTCATGAACCAGATGATTAGGCCAGGCACGGTGGCTCACGCCTGCAATCCCAGCACTTTGAGAGGCCAAGGCAGGTGGATCACTTGAAGTCAGGAGTTCGAGACCAGCCTGGTCAACATGGTGAAACCCCGTCTCCACTAAAAATACAAAAATAAACCAGGGATGGTGGTGTGCATCTGTAATCCCAGTTACTGGAGGCTGAGGCAGGAGAACTGCTTGAACCCAGGAGGCAGAGGTTTCAGTGAGCTGAGATTGCACCACTGCACTCCAGCCTGGGCAAGACACCATCTCAACAACAACAAAAAAAAGGACCAGATGATTTAATATCAAGATGACCATACTCCCAAATTGATCTACAGATTCATCACAATCTCTATCAAAATACTAGCTGGCTTCTTTGCAGAAACTGACAAGCTAATCTAAAATTCATATGGAATTGCAAGGGGCTCCAGAATGGCTAAAATATCTTGAAAAAGGAAAGCAAAGTTGGAGAACTCCCCCATTTCAAAACTTACTATAAAGCAATATTAATCAAAAGAGTGTCTCCTAGTCAGGCATGGTGGCTCACGCCTGTAATCCCAGCACATTGAGAGGCCGAGGTGGGCAGATGGCTTTAGCCCAAGAGTTTGAGACCAGCCTGGGCAACATGGTGAGATTCCATCCCTACAAAACCTACAAAAATTAGCCAGGCATGGTGGCATGTGCCTGTAGTTCCAGCTACTTGGTAGGCTGAGATAGGAGGTCCACTTGAGCCCAGGAGGTGGAGGTTGCAGTGAGCCGAGATTGCACCACTGCATGCACTCCAGCCTGGGCAACAAAGAGACACCTATCTCAGAAAAAAAAAAAAAAAAGTGTTTCCTGGAATAAGGTGGGCATATAGATCAATGAAATAGAATTGGGAATCCAGAAATAAACCCATATATCTATGGCTAACTGATTTTCTACAAGGGTACTAAGACCAATCAATGGGGAAAAGAACAGCCTCTTTAACAAATGGTGCTGCAGAAAGACAAACTGCCTATTCTTCCAAGTGGGAGCTAAACAACAAGTACATGTGGAAGCAGAGTATGGAATGACAGAGAGTGGAATCTTGGAAGGGTGGGGAGTGTGAGAGTGGGGTGGATGAAGAGAAATTACTTAATGAGTACAACGTAGGCTACTCCAGTGATGGATACACTAAAAGCCCTGACTTTACCGCTATGCAATATATCAATGTAACAAAATTATACTTGAACTCTATAAATTTACACAAATCAATAAAATTTAAAAAAAAAAACAGTGCTGGATAGTCACATACGAAAGAATAAAGTTTGAACCCTTTCTTCATATCGTATACAAAAATTAACTCAAAATGGATCAAAGACCTACATGTAATAGCAATACTATAAAATCTCAAAGAAAACATAGTAGGTCCTCATGACCTCACATTTGTCAAGGGACTGTATCTTGTCAATCCCTTGATTGATAAGGGATTATATATGTAATATGCATATATATAAAGAATTCTTACAATCCAATAGTAAATAGACAAATAACCCAATTAAAGAATGGGCAAAAGTTTGACCTGAATAGATATTTCTCCAAAGAAGACACACAAATGGCCAAGAAGCACATGAATAGATGCATGAACCATAAGGGAAATGCAAATCAAAACTACAAAAAAGTCAGGTAATAACAAGTGCTGATAAGGATGTGGAGAAACTGGAACTCTCATACACTGCTAATAGGAAGGCCACTTTGGAAAACAATCTGGCAGAAACTTAAAAGGTTAACAGAATTCCATATGTCCCAAAAATTCTACTCCTAGATATACATCCAAGAGAAATGAATCCATATGTCCACACATACACTTATATAAGAATGTCTACGGTAGCATTATACATAATAGCCAAAAAGGAGGAAAAAAAACATGTCCATCAACTGATGAATGGATATACAAAATATCACATATCCATATAATAAAATATTATTCAGCCATATAAAGTAATGAAGTACTGATACATGCCACATCACAGGTGAATCCTGAAACCATTAAGCTAAGTGAAAGAAGCCCAGTCACAAAAACACATATCATTCCATTTATATGAAATGCCCAAAATAGGTAAATCTATAGACAGAAGGTAGATTAATAGTTGCATATGGGGAATGGAAGACGGGGGATATCAGCTAAAGTGTATGGGGTTTCTTTTAGAAGTGATAAAATGTTCTAAAATTGACCGTGATCATGATGGCACATATCTATGAATATACAGAAAATGACTGAATTGTGCACTTTAAATTAAAGGTGAATTGTACAGTATATGAATGATATCTCAAAAAAGCTATTAAAATGTTTTTAAGTAAGTCAATTAAGCACTCAACACAAGGAAATACACACACACACACACACACACACACACACACACACATCAAAGTAAACCTAAGGAAATAGTAAAAGATGAAAACTGAACTTATTATTAAAATTAATAATTTTTAATAATTAAAAAATAAACAGCAACAGAAACTTAAATCAAGAGCTGTGTCCTTGAATGAAAAATAAATTAAATAAACCCCTACCTAGTCAAATCAGGAGAAAAATAAAGCATAATTACACAAAATTGGGAATGAGAAGTGAAAATAACCACAGAGGCAAATGAAAAAATAAAGAATACTGTGTAGCACTCCATTAAAATTAACTAGAAACCCTTACTGAAAAGAATGATTTCCTAGGAAAACCACCAAAATTAACCCAAGAAAGGAGAACATATATAGACTACAACCCTGAAAGGAATACAGAGATAGTTTAAATGGTGATATCTTTCAAACATACAAGAAAGAAAAATTCCTTTGTACTTACACTGTTCCAGAAAAACAAAAATCATCCAAGTACCTTTTATGAAAATGGCATAATATTGATGTCAAGTTTGATAAATACTGGCCAAGAAAACAAAAAACAAACAGAAAAACATTTAAAACCATTATCAAATATCTGCAAATAAAATCTAGCAGTTCCTCAAGAGAAAAGCACACTACGACTAAATAGTTTTTACCCTAGGAACACAAAACAGGATTAATATTAAGAATAAAACGTATACAAGGCCAGGCACGGTGGCTCAAGCCTGTAATCCCAGCACTTTGGGAGGCCGAGGCGGGTGTATCACGAGGTCAGGAGATGGAGACCATCCTGGCTAACACGGTGAAACCCCGTCTCTACTAAAAATACAAAATAATAGCCGGGCGTGGTGGCGGGCGCCTGTAGTCGCAGCTACTCGGGAGGCTGAGGCAGGAGAATGGCATGAACTCGGGAGGCTGAGTTTGCAGTGAGCCGAGATT
Source organism: Homo sapiens (assembly GCF_000001405.40). Lineage (NCBI taxonomy): Eukaryota > Metazoa > Chordata > Mammalia > Primates > Hominidae > Homo > Homo sapiens. The sequence goes on along the minus strand of NW_025791766.1, from coordinate 60,854 downwards.
GCGCCACTGCACTCCAGCCTGGGTGACAGAGCGAGACTCCGTCTCAAAAAAAAAAAAAAAAAGAATAAAACGTATATGAATAGGTTAAAAAAATAAATTGTGCACTGTAGATAAATTTGGAGATGGGGAGCAGAAACGGGAGAGGTTCAGCCTGTGTTCTCTTCTTTGAAACTGTAACCTGCTTATGGGGGGATGTTGAACTCTGGGTGGGAGACAGAAGTTAAGAGGGAAGATGGGGAAAGAAGCTGACAGAGAGGAAACTAAAGATTTCCAAACACTGTTGGGCCGGGCGCAGTGGCTCATCACATCTGTAATGCCAGCACTTTGGGAGGCCGAGGCGGGTGGATAACCTGAGGTCAAGAGATCAAGACCATCCTGGCCAACATGGTGAAACCCCATCTCTACTAAAAATACAAAAATTAGCTGGGCATGGTGGCGCGCATCTGTAGTCCCAGCTACTGCGGAGGCTGAGGCAGGAGAATCACTTGAACCCGGGAGGCGGAGGTTGCAGTTAGCCAAGATCGGGCCACTGCCACTCCAGCCTGGTGACAAAAGCGAGAGACTCCATCTTAAAAAGAAAAAAAAAAAAGATTTCCAAGCACTGTTGATGACCCAATTAAAAGTTGGAGACCAAGAATTTCTAGTGATGCCAACCCAGAGAACTGAATTATCTTCCCCAGCACAACTCAGAAATTCAGGTTAAGGAATTACAAGAAGTGCCTGAATGGTCTGTAGGACCAGCATAAAAACAACATAAGGCTCTGAATCACTCACTTCCCTCTTAAAAAGACTTAGTTATAAGACTGGTCATATTTTGCTTCAAATTTAAACAGTATCATAGTTTAACTCAGCCTTAGTAACAGGACTACAAACTTAATCACTGCCTTATATAACACCACTATAACTCCCTTATTATCTAGTGAGATATGAGAGTAAATTGAATAACACAATTTTGTCATTTAACTTGAGAGTAAACTGGATGAAATTAATGTTTCCTATTATTTGATCTCATCCTCTAAATACGCAGCATTAGATGTTATACAACACATCTAAGAATTTCATAGTTCATAAATTTCTAGCAAGAAACATACTAAGCATTTTTTCCTTAAACACTTTCCAACCTATGCCAGTAAGTTTCAATATGCCAGTGAACTAAAGGAAAAATTATCTGAACACTCCTTGTATCATTGTAAATCTACCTTTAATACAGAAAATCATCTATATATTCTATATATTATCATATATTCTCTCAGGTAAATAAGAAAATATCTAATTTTTCTCAGGGGAAAGAAAAAACTGTGGGGAGGAAAAAATACTCTGGGCTCTCAGAAGTAAGATTTTCTATTACCCATAGATAGTTCACGATTAGAGGCCGGGCGCGGTGGCTCATGCCTCTAATCCCAACACTTTGGGAGGCTGAGGCAGGCAGATCACAGGTCAGGAGTTCAAGACCAGCCTGGCCAACATGGTGAAACCCCATCTCTACTAAAACTACAAAAATTAGCCAGGCGTGGTGGTGGATACCTGTAATCCCAGCTACTCGGGAGGCTGAGGCAGGAGAATTGCTTGAACCCAGGAGGCAGAGGTTGCAGTGAACCAAGATCGTGACACTGCACTCCAGCCTGGGCAACAGAGCAAGACTTCATCTCGGCGGGGGAAAAAAAAGATAGTTCATTATTAAACAGGAAAATAATTTTCTCACATTGGCTGTAGTAAAAGAGGGTTAGCTTAAAAATTCCTCCTCTGGGTCCCTATCTCTCACCATATGCAAAGATTAACTCAAGATAGATTAAAGATTTAAATGTAAGGCCCGAAATTATAATAATCCTAAAGAATACTTAGGAAAAAAGTTTATGATTAAGACCTCAAAAGCAAATGCAACAAAAATAAAAACAGACAAATGGAACTTAATTAAACTAGAAGAGCTCCTGCACAGCAAAATAAACTACCAACAGAGTAAACAGACAACCTACAGGATGGGAGAAAATATCTGCAAACTATGCATCTGACAAAGGACTAATATCCAGCATCTATAAGGAACTCAAACAAATCAACAGGAAGAAAAAACAAATAACCCCACTAAAAAGCGGGCAAAAGACTGAACAGACACTTCTCAAAAGAAGACATACGAGCGGCCAAAAAACATGAAAAAATGCTCAACATCACTAAGCATCAGAGAAATGCAAATTAAAATCACAATGAGATACCATCTCACACCAGTCAGAATGGCTATTATTAAAAAGTCAAAAAACAGATGTTGGCAAGGATGAGAAGAAAAGGGAACACGTATACACTGTTGTTGGGAATGTAAATTGTTCAACTCCTATGGAAAGCAGTATGGAGATTTCTTGAAGAACTCAAAACAGAACTACCATTTGACCCAGCAATCCTACTACTGGGTATCTCTCCAAAGGAAATTAAATCATTTCATCAAAAAGACATCTGAGCCAGGCACACTGGCTCACACCTGTAATCCCAGCACTTTGGGAAGCCAAGGCGGAGTATCACTTGAGCCCAGGTGTTCTACACCAGCTAGACGCCATTAAAAAAAAAGAAAAAAATCTGTGCTCATATGTTTATCACAGCACCGTTCACAATAGCAAAGTCATGAAATCAACCTAAGTGTCCATCAACAACTGAATGGGTAAAGAAAATGTAGTATGTATTAATATACATTGTGGAATATTATGCAGCTATAAACAGAATGAAATCCTGTCCTTTGCAGCAACATGGATGGAGCCTGGAGGCTATTTATCAAGTGAAACAATTCAGAAACAGAAAATCAAATACCACATGCTCTCACTGGTAAGACAAGTGGGTACAATGGGTACACAGAGGCATAAAGATAAATGGGTACAATAAGTACCCACAGACATAAAGATGGAAATAAACAGACACTGGGGGCTCCAGAAGGAGGAGAGAAGGGCTGAAAAATTACCTATCAAGTACAATGTTACACTATCACGTACAAAGGTATATTATTTGGGTGAGAGGTTCACTAGAAGCCCAAACCTCACCATTATGCAATATATCCATGTTAATTACGTGCATATGTACCCCCAAATCTAAAATTAAATTAAAATTTTGTTTAAAAAACTCCTCCTCTAGGCTTCAAGATAAAGTTTGAATATTAATAGTTATTCAAGCAAGAAGTCACAGGACAAAATAAAAGTTAGAAGACCTAGTCAACAAGTGTGGCTTTAATTATGGTCTCTATGTAAATGACTTACAACTTGAAATCTCTAGCCCAGCCTTCTCCTTCAATCTTCAAAACCAAACTCATAATCTTAAGACTCACCCAACCAATTCCACCACCCACTCACAGCCACCACCTCCACCATAAATCTGGCCATATCTTAATATTGGCACAACCATTCAAACAATAACCTAACACCTGGCTACTTCACCTTTCACATCCCATCCGTTATTAAGTATGATGATTTTGCCTCTTAAATATCTCTCAAATCAGTCCACTTTTCCCTGTATCCACCAACACTTCCCTATTCCAAACTTTCATCATCTTTTGCCGGGCAATGCTGCAATGGTCTCCTAATTTATGCCCTTGACCTATGGCTACTGCTCCCCATCCCACCTTGCTATCACAGCTGTTCCACACTCTGCTATACACCTGACCTTTCTGAAACACCTAACTTATCATACATCCCCTCGTTTCAAATATTTTCTTCAACTCCCCAAAGCTCCAGAGATAAAGCCCCTAAATCCTTGGCATAGCACACAAAGCCTTGCAGTCTGTGCTCAAACCACGTTGGCTTCTGGGTCCTGGAAAATGCCATGCTCTCTCTCATCAACAGTACCTTTTCATGTGTTTTTCCCTCAGCTAGACGGCTCTTTCCCTCCCCTTTGCCTGATTAACCTTAAACTGTCTTCAGATATCAGCTCTATCATAACCTCCTCAAGAAGGCTTTCCCAACTTCACTGACAAGGCCAGATTATCTTACTTTATGCTTTCATAGAATATTAGCACATATATTAGTTTCACTTTATGTGATCATCTGAAATCTGTCTGCCTCCCTGTCTAGACCATGAACACAAGGAAGGCAGAGACCAAAAATGTTTGGGTTCACCAAGCTTTCCTTAGCACCCAGCACAATGTGTGGCACATGGTGAATTCTAATAATACATGTTCAATGAATTAAGTACCCCCTGGAATATTCACCAGACAAAACAACAACTACTGCTCATTAGTGACAAAACTCTACACCTTCACTGTCTGTGATGATGGAACTGTTCCATTATCTGCTCTGTCCAACATGGTAGCCACTAGCCTAGTGTGGCTGCTGAGCACTTGAAAACCGGTAAGAACAGACGCATGGAATTTTTCATTTAATTTATTTTTAACTCTTACTCAAAACTATAATAGTTTTCTCTTTAAGATGTAAAAAGCCACACGTGGCCAGTGGCTACTGTACTGAGCAGGGCAGGTCTTGCTCCTCGAAAAGCAGTAAGTTAAAAAAAGGGGGGTAAGGGCAGCAAATTAAATGGAGAGTTATTTTCAAAATGATCTTCGGGGGTCTACCATGAAATCGGCTTTCTCCATTGTGTATTATCTGTGCTTTGTAGTTTTGCAGACTGTTTGGAGCCGCATCACAAGCCTCCTGCATTCCAAGCCCCTCCTATCGGCTGGGGAACCCCTTTATTGCTACAAATGATGGTCCAGGGGAGGAAAACCCGCGGGGAGCCTCTCCAGACTAAGTGATCGCGCGGTGTACATTATCCACATTACTCCCTCAGGGGAGTCCTGCAATTCAGTCAAGCTCATCTGTTCACTGTCTCCCCAACAAGATGCTCCCCAGGCAACCACTCGCTCCGGTCCTACACCGCCTTTTCCCTCCTTCAAGGCTCGACACACCCGTGGTCCTCTCTCAGCGTTTCTCACGGGGAATGCAGGCTCCCCTGAACGTCTACGGGAGTTCAAAAGGCCCAGGACCCACCGAGGGGGAGGAAACGAGAAGTCTTTGCCACAAAGCCTGGGAGACGCGGAGCAGCCGGCCGGCACCTGGGCTGGAGTCTGGGCCGCCTACTAGCCTCAGCTGCGCGCGTTTTCTCCGTCAGGCGGCGTGACCTGCGGGCGGGCGGAGCGCTCGGGGCCCAGCCTCCACCCCCAACTCGCCGCGGCTCCACACCCCTCCCCGGCCCGCCTCACCTTCTCCAGGGAGGTCCGCTCGCCCTCCGAGTAGCGGTGCTGCGGGGGCGACAGCGGAGGCAAAATCCTGCCGGGGTGCGCCTGCAGCCAGGCCTTGGCCTCCTCGTCCTCCTCGTCGTCTATACTTTCCAGATGCTGGGGCCCGTAGTGAGAGTCGGAGTCCAACTCCCGCCCCGCCTCTTCCTCCACCTCCTCCACGACCACTACGTCGTCCACGTTCGCCGCCGCCGCCGCTGCAGCCTCCTCCTCTTCCTCCTCCTCCTCCTCCTCCTCCTCCTCCTCCTCCTCCTCCAGCTCGCCCGGCCATGGCAGATCCTCGGGCTCCATGTTGGTGTCTCGCTCTGGGCGGCAGAGGAGGAGGAGGAGGGGGGGAGGGAGGGGAAGGGGAGAGCCCTGACTGGCGGTTGTGGCCCAGCTTAGGCGCAGTGCCGCCCGCCTGGGCGGGGCCGGAAGACCGCGCGCGCGTTGCTAGGGACGCCGCGCGAGGCCCGGCGGGAACGCCTTAGGGCGGAGGTTTGCTACAGGCGACGTTGCCGCCTCGCCGCCGTCACCGGCCGGGACCTTGCGAACTGTACTGTAAGCTCACAATAAACCGGGACTGGGCGCCTTCCGGGGCGCAGAGGGCCCCGCGCAAGGACAGTGTAGTTCTCGGCTGGGGTCGAGTTTCGCCCCTGCACAGAGAAGAGATCAAACTCTAGGACGTACCCGTTATAATCACACATGCAAATTATAAAGTTTTAAAGGTTGAGTATCTCCTAAAGTGTCAAGCTGTATGGTGGGCGCTTGAACCTAACCGTGGAAAAGTGTCACGGGTTGTTAGAGGGATTAAGAACTGGGCACTGGCATCAGAAAGATCGGAGTTTGAATCCTGGCATCACCACTTAAAGTGGTGTGACTTTGTGTTTATAAAACGATGATAATAGGCCATCGCATAGGATGGGTGTGATAATTAAAGGAAATAATCAATGTGAAGGACTTAGTGATAGGTTGGTTATTGTACAATAACTCATTAGATGCTCACGGTTCTGTGAGACAAGTATTACTATTTCATGTATGAAGAATCTGAGGCTAAAAAAATTAATTTGCCCAAAGTTTCTTACCTAGTAAGTGGCTGACTCAGTATGCCATCCCAGGTCCTCTGTTAGTGTAGGAATTGCCCTGGCCTAGACCAACCAGCTGTTAAAGGATAACAGAGCAAATATTTATACTGATAGTACATATGTTTTGGTGGTTCGTCAATGACTTTGGAGTGCTTTAAAAACAAAGATTTCCTGACCGCTTCAGGAACCTCTACGAAATGAATGGCAAATTAAAGTATCTTAAGATGCCATGTAACCAGACACCACCTGTACCCCCAATAACCTATGGGGAAAATTTTTAAATTAAAATTTTAAATAATAATTATAATCTTGAGATGCTTCACTGTTACCAAAGGAAATAGCCATAATTAAAGTGGAGTCCAGCAAAAAGTCTTCATGGTATTACCCACAATAGTAGAGATACATTGATAATGATGCTGAACCAATGTTGGTGGGGCAATTTTAGGGTTATTGCCAAGGATGTATGTCCTGCCTACCTGTCAATGACCCAATCCTGGCAAAACTTTAAGGGTAGAACATGAACTGGAGCCCAGTCTTGGAGTTCTGTTGAACACCTCTAAATGGACTATGAGTACATTAGGGTTATTTATTCTTAAGGGGTTTAGGGGTTCTCCTTGCCGGAGACCTATTACTGTAATAGTAGAAAAGAATTTATTAATTTTGTATTCCTGAATGTGAAATCTCAATGTTTATCTCCAGTAAGAGGACACACATTTCACTGATATTAAATAACTGTAAAGCTTTACCTTTTTAGAAACTCCGCTATCTTTTTGCATCCACAAATTTCAGGAAAGATAAAGAGAACTAATAGAATTCTAAAAAATAGCTTTCAAAGTTCTCTAACTTCCATCTAACTTCCAAAGCCCAAAGTACTTCTATTTGCCTTGATGGCAATAAGGTCAGTCCATTCTAAGGCCCATAAGTTATCTCCTTCTGAGTTAATAACAGGCTTCCTCATGTATTTGTGAATTACTTCCAATACTAGATGCTACTAATATAAGCTGTTATCACTAATTGCTGCAGGAGACTTCTAAGATTAACTCCTGCTTTATCAACAACAGATGGAAGCTGCATTCTCAAAGCACCCACCTAAGCAGCTTCTGAAGTTAGAGATTTGGTCTTCTGAAAAAGCATTAGAAAACAATTTCCCTTGAGCCTCAATGCAAGAAAAAAAAATGTCAGGTACTATCAACAACTGACCCAGGAGTAAAACTAGAAGACATTGATCCCTGGATTCATATTACACAACTAAAAAGACATGCATCATTTTCTCCTGGCTACCGGACATCCCATACTATTGGAAGACCTCAAACTGAAGATTCCTGGGACTTCCCCAGAAGCTGCTTACTGCAGAAATGGGCAGTTTATACCCAAGACAACAGGACAAGATTAATTTCTGATTCCTTGGCATCTCTTACCCTACCACTAATCTTGCTTATTGCATTTTGACACCCTTGATTAACTAACAAATTGATTTCTCGGGGAGATAACCCTTATCTTCATCCTGTTACTTTTGACTCCCTATGTTCTACTACTTAAAGTAAACATTATTTGGCCAGGTGCAGTGGGTCATACCTGTAATTCCAGCACTTTAGAAAGCCAAGGTGGGAAGATCACTTGAGACCAGGAGTCTAACTAACGTAGGCAATGTAGCAAGACCCCCATCTCTAAAAACAATAAAAAATTAGCTGGGCATGGTGGCACGTATCTGGAGTCCCAGCTACTCAGGAGGCTGAGGCAAGAGGGTCCTTGAAGCTCAGGAGTCCAAGACTGCAGTGAGCTGTGATCGTGCCAATGGGCAACAAAGTGAAACCCAATCTAAAAAAGAAAGAGAGAAAGGGAGAAGAGAGAAAGAGAAAGGAAAGGAAAGGAGGGGAAAGGGGAAAGGGAAAGAGAAAGGAAAGGGAAGGAAAAAAAGAAAAGAAAAGAGACACTTTCTGGAGTGTTTTTCTCAAACCGTAGCTACTGCTTTTAAGGAATTGTTGACAAAATTTAATAACTGTGCTTTCATAGACTTCATCAAGTAGATTTTCTTCTGTAGGTCACTTCTGGTACTTAAGCATTCCCCACAAAGTTCATCCCAAACCTCAGTCTTCTAAAAATTGGACCTTGACCTACACTTCAACAGAATGTTTCCCTGAAGTCATTACAATCCTATGAGAAAAACCTAGCCCTTCAGGAATAGAAACTAATATTGGGGCTATTCTTTATACACTACTCAGGTCATTCTCTTCCAAAACATTCCAGCCTGCTTTGGAGAAACCTGTTTAACTTCATCCAAGAAATCTGCTTATCCTGAGGGAAAGAAAGTTGGCTTGTCCCTGATGTGCTAAATAGCCCTTATCCTCCCAATGCAGTCTGTACTCCCCTAGGGTACTACTTATTTATGGGAACATCTGGCTTGCCCACTAACTTACCCTTTATATTGAAGCTAATTGTTAGAGACCCTCCAGTGCTTAAAATTACCACCCCTCCAGTAGACTGTGTTTCTTTGAAAAGAACACCCAGAAACCAACAAAATGAAGCAAGCACACAATCACAGACTACTTGGGAGAACTCCCAGGAGGGATAACTGACTCATTTTTCATGTGTACTCTGTGAATGAAATTCCTACAACAAAGATAATACAACAGAAAGAGATCAGATCCAAGAGAGGTATTTGACCTTAGCAGACCCCATAGATAGCAAAACTTCTGCTATAGCAGCTCAGAAAACCACTTAAATTTGAATTCCTTAGCCAGAGTTTTCATGGATAATTATATAACCCTTGATTTCTTCTTAGCTGGCCAAGGAGGAGTTTGTATTTAGCAACACTTGTCACCATACTCACATACTACTGGGCCAGTAGAACATACTACAGAGTCAGTAGAACATGAGTAAACTGAAAAGAGAAAATCCTCCTGGCTCCCTAAAAACAGACTCAGCTGGATTCTGGGGCATGTTTTCATTGCCAGGACTTTATAATCTGGGTCCCTGTCTTCAAGACTTTTTACAAAGATGGATAATCATTTTGTTTCTGGTAATTGCTTCTTTTGCACTTGGTCAACGTATCCTATCCACAGCCCTAGTTTCTGCACAGCCATTGTCATATCATATGATTCAACAAATCCTACAACAGAAGGCGGAATTAACCCAACTACAGACTGCATCCTCCAGATCAGCATAAATTTAGCAATAGTGAAAATCTGAATATCATAGATTAATGGTCCTGTGGCCTGACTTTGTCTACCCTTGACCAACTGGAGGACTCACTAAATAAATCTAGGGTGCCTGGGAACTGGTCTGACACAGGTAACTAAGCCTCAGGGTTGTCACATGCTGGCCTGGCATTCACCATCATCCCTCAATATTCTCCTGTTGAGCATAAATAATCTCACAGAACACCGACATCACACATGGTCTTTCTGTGACTGAAGAAACGAGACATGACAAGACCATTTCATAACCTTGCCTAAGCACAGACAAAAACAACGTTACTGTGCACATCAAACACCCTCCTTTTCCAGTTAATTTGATGGCTGTTTTTTTAAATCAATTATAGCTCTACCATCACTGTGGTTTGTTTTTTTTTTTTTTTTTGCTGTCACCTAGGCTGGAGTGCAGTGGCACGATCATGGCTTACTGCAGCCTCGACTTCACCAGCTCCAGTGATCCTCTCACCTCAGCCTCCTGAGTAGCTGGAACAACAGGTGTGTGCCACCGTGCTCAGCTAATTTTTTTTTTTTTGGTAGAGATGGAGTTTCGCCATGGTTCCCAGGCTGGTCCTGAACTCCTGGGCTCAAGCAGTCCACCCGCCTTGGCCTCCCAAAGTGCTGGGGTTACAGGCTTGAGCCACTGTGCCCAGCCCATCACTGTATTCTTTTCCTCTGAATAAAATTTATTAAGATGCCCAATCATAGAATTACTCCCTCATCTTGACAGCATCCAATACACAGAAAAGCACTGGCCTTTAAAACTTGCCCCCTAAAATCACCTAACACAAGGCAAATCCTATAACTCCTAGTAACATCCCAATATGGAGATCTCTCATGATCTCCCATGGTGTGCGTTCTCCCTTGTTGCAATGAATAGTGAAACCAACACTGGGTTGCTAGAGAACATTGACACATTAAACTAAAGGAAGCAATTATGTAAGTTCTAGTTCTACCCTGGTTTTAATTTTTTATCTTTTTTTAGGCATAAGGTCTTACTATTGCCCAGGCTGGACTCAAACTCTTAGGCTCAAGCAATCCTCCCACTCAGCCTCTTGAGTAGTTGGGACTACAGGCACATACCTACACACAGCTTGCCAGTTTTAAACTTCCCATGAGTGGAATGTATTCCTAGTTACCAGAATCCTGGTTTCTGTCCTGAAGCACAGTACCTCCTGATCAAAGGTTTACTGAGTACTTTCTAGGTTCCAGGCACTGTACTAGGAAACAGGAATGTTGCCTGCTGGTACCAACCTACTATGGCCAAGCAAGTGCTCCTAATGATGTTTCCCTCTAGTAGCAGCAGGTATTAAGATGCTGCTGCCAAAAGGAGCTGAGGGTCCTGAGAATGGGAAAAGATAGGTGGAGGCCCATATGGAACATGAGACCTACCCATATACTTTGAACAGAGGATCCTATACCTGGGACTCATGGTGCAGGTTCCTGGCTATCAATCCCCATAGCAGGACTGCACCAAATGAGTACATAAAAACGCCAGACAACTCAAAATGGAGCAGATTCCTGCTGCCCCACATCTAACTTGCCCACAGGCCCAAGAGACTGCTCAGACTAGAATTGCCTCTCTCGTGGTGCAGCCCTTTCTTCATCTAGGGGCCAAAAGGCAATGAAAGAAGGAGCAAGGGCAGCATGCCCTCCTTTCCCCCTCCTACATCCATTGTTATTGCTGCCACCTTCTTCTCCTCCTCCTCCTTTTGCTTCTCTTCCTCCCCTCCTTGTCTTTCTTCTTCTTTTCTCTCTGTTTCTGGATAAACAAAGATGATAGATGAAAAAACCTGTCAGTTATAGAAAAAAATCTTAATTGAGGTTTGAGAAGGCAAGCATAAGACAAAAGGCAGACGACAGGAAAAAGTGAAGGAACTGGTCATTAAAACCATAAAACACTGTAGCATGTGCACACTGCTACAGAGTCTGCATTTGCTATGTTCCCACATATCCCCCATTGCTCACGCTTTTATTTGATTAAGTTTCCTGATCAAATGTCAGAGGTCTTCTCTGATCATCCAGTCTAAGATATAAAACAGCAGACATACCCGACATACTCCATCATTCTCCAACCCATGACTCTGCTTTATTCCTACACCTATTATTAGCTGACATTACATATGTTTGTCTATATTCTGTCTCCACCCACTAGAATGTAAGTGTCATGAAAGCAGGGAGCCTGTCTTTTTCACTTTAGCTCTAACGCCTGGAATTATGCCTGATGTATAGTTGCCCTCAATGTTTGTCCAATGAATAAATACATAAATGCCCTTTTGGTACTCCTCTCATAAAAGAGATTTAAAGAGAAAAAGAGGCATTCTCCTCCCCCACTTTACCTTAAATGTCTGGAAAATCCAGGCACTTTGAGGGCTCTAAGACTTTGGTGGTGGTACCCAGAGATTTCCCAAGGCAGCTTGGACATCCACAGAAGAACATAAGGTCTGTCAGGCAAGAGCAGAAGCACCTGTAGAGGCTAATGGAGGAATTAGTGCTTCAGAGATAAAACCACACATGAGAAACCTCAGTCATGCCCAGCGGAGGCCAGTGTACCTGCAGGAGAGGCTGTCCACTGCTGGGCGGGTGGATCACCTGAGGTCAGGAGTACAAGACCAGCCTGGCCAACATGGCGAAACCCCATCTCTACTAAAAACACAAAAATTAGCCAGGTTTGGTGGCATGCACCTGTAGTCCCAGCTACTGGGGGGCTGAGGCAGGAGAATTGCTTGAACCCAGGAGGTGGAGGTTACAGTGAGCAGAGATCGCACCACTGCACTCCAGCCTGAGCAACAGAGCAAGACTCCATTCCAAAAACAAAACAAAAGAAAAACCTCATATGTGGAAGGCCTAACCCCCAGTGTAATGGTATTTGTAAGTGGGACCTTTGGGAGATAATTAGATATAAATGAGGTCATAAGGGTAGAGTCCCAGTGATGGGATTAGTGCCCTTTTAAGAAGAGGAGAGAGAGATTGCTCTCTCTTCACCATGTAAAGACATAGCAAGAGGGTAGCCCTCTACAAGCCAGGAAGAGGGCCCTCGCCAGACACTGAGTCTGCTAGTGCCCTGATCTTACACTTCCCAGCCTCTAGAGCTATGAGAAATAAATGTTTAAGCCACCCAGTCTAAGGAATTTTGTTATGGCAGCCTATGTTGAATACAACAAACTGACAACTCCCAGAAATATGTGAAGGCAGGTCTGACATTCATCTGGTGTGCACGAATGCTGTTCTGGTTGTTAAAATACTGAGATACTTTCATATTCATTGGTAAATAGCCAATGCCCCCAAGCACCCTTCCCCTCTTCACCCCCATTACCTTCTACCCAGACCTCCCCAGGATCCAAAAACTAAAGGGTTAATGCCTGGTACGGCTTGAGCCCCTGTTTTGATTGGTCCATGCACTTGTCATTCCAGGTGCTAAATATTTTTAATATCACCACTACCTGGAGTAAAGGAGAGATGAGGCCCTATTTGAAGAAGAACCAGAGCCAATGAACTGGAAGATTACTTTTATGTGTTTGTTTGTTTGTTTGTTTGTTTGAGACGGAGTCTCGCTCTGTCGTCCAGGCTGGAGTGCAGTAGCGCGATCTCGGCTCACTGCAAGCTCCGCCTCCCGGGTTCACCCCATTCTCCGGCCTTAGCCTCCCGAGTAGCTGGGACTACAGGCGCCCACCACCATGCCCGGCTAATTTTTGTATTTTTAGTAGAGACGGAGTTTCACTATGTTGGCCAGGCTGGTCTCAAACTCCTGACCTCATGATCTGCCTGCCTTGGCCTCCCAAAGTGCTAAGATTACAAGCATGAGCCACCGTGCCCGGCCGAGAGGTTACTATTAACATAGACTTACCTGAAGCCAAAGTGCAGGTTCTGGTGACATTTTTTAATTTGTAAAAACATTATGGGCTGGGCGCTGTGGGTCACGCCGGTAATCCCAACACTGTGGGAGGCCCAGGCGGGTGGATCACCTGAGGTCAGGCATTCAAGACGAGCCTGGTCAACATGGCAAAACCCCTCCTCTACTAAAAATACAAAAATTAGCAGGGCATGTGACATATGCCTATAATCCCAGCTACTCAGGAGGCTGAGGCAGGAGAATTGCTTGAACCCGGGAGGCGGAGGTTGCAGTGATCAGAGGTCGTGCCATTGCACTCCAGTCTGGGCAACAGAACAAGCCTGCATCTCAAAAAAAAAAATTATGAAACTCCAGCTTACTGGAGCTGTGCTAAGGGCAACCCAGGGAAGGAGTCTCTGAGGACCCTTGAACATGGACCAGCATGGCAGTGACAGGAGTCATCAAATTGAGCCTACTACCTGTGAAAGATGAAGCTCAGGGGGCCACTGGGAACTGCAGAGTCAGCTGGCTGTCTCTTGTCAAAAGATTCTGCTTTCAAACCCAAGCCTTGAAGGTTCAGGATTTTTTTTTTTTTTTGAATGGGAAAAGAGGGTGTAGAGGCAAATAACCTGAGAAAGTCAGGTTCCAACAGCTATCCAGATTACGTTTCTCCGTAACCCCTTTCCAATCCTAAGGTTCTGCCGTGTTACCATGGCGGGTCCAGGTCTGTCCTAAGTCTCCAAAGGCATTTACTTGTGAAAATAAATGAAGACTAATCAAATGAGAACAAGCAAAGTCTATTTATTCTGAACTTGCTGTAGCAAGGGAGTCAGCCACTGTTATTTGTGTTTTGGCAGACTCAAAGGCAGGCAGAGGAGTGGGAAAATCTTATAGTGGAAAAGAAAGGAAGGCTTCAGGTGTGCCCTGATTGGAGGCTGTTGGCACAGGAAGCTGTTGGAGGGCTAACTGGAAACTGGGCATCTTACAGGAGTTGTTTGGGGGGGAATATCTGGTTTTCTCTGGTTAGTCCTAAGTTGCAAGCAAAGACAAAACTTAGGGAAGCTGTCAAGTTATTAAAGTCCTAGCCATTTGGGGCTGATTATTATAAGGATTATTGTTTGGCTTCTTAGATTTTTATTAGAGACGGCAATCTGGCTTCCTACAAGTCTGGCATAGCAGGCTAGCTTCCTGGACTGGTTATTGTAGATATGGGTTGATTTCCTGGGAAGATTACTACTGGTTGTGGATCAAAGTTCTGCTTTTTTAAAATAGAGACAGGATCTTGCTCTGTTACCCAGGCTGGACTGCAGTGGCATGGTCATAGCTCACTGCAGCCCCAAACTCCTCGTCTCAAGCAATCCTCCCACCTTGACCTCCCAAAGGGCTGAGATTAAAAGCATGAGCCACCACATGCAGCTGAGGGTTCTATTCTTATATGTGATCTGGCTGTTATTAGTTTGTATATTCAGTCAAATATACAAATACTCAACAAATATTTATTAAGTAGCTACTAAATGCCAGTCACTTTGCCAGATGCTAGAGTAACAGAAATTAAATGACATCTTCCTGCTTTCAGGATTTACAGTCTCATGGGGAGACATAGACAGAGTTTCCCCTTAGAAATCAGTGACCAGGTTTGCTTACATTGGATTCCTAGAATATCTGCCTGGAGGCAACCCTGGGAATATTTTTCATGAAGCCAGTAGTAAAATTATTT
This sequence comes from Homo sapiens, assembly GCF_000001405.40. Lineage (NCBI taxonomy): Eukaryota > Metazoa > Chordata > Mammalia > Primates > Hominidae > Homo > Homo sapiens. The sequence continues at coordinate 45,850 of NW_025791766.1, read as the reverse complement.
TCTTAGCCTGTTCAGAGTGGTATAACAAAATACCATAGACTAGGTGGCTTATAAATGACAGATGTTTATTTCTCACAGTTCTGGAAGCTGGGAAGTCCAAGATCAAGGCACCAGCAGATTCAGTGTCTAACAAGGGCCCGCTTCTTCATAGACAGCCATCTTCTCACTCTACTCTTACATGGCAGAGGGAGGGAGGGAACTCTCTTAGGCTTTTTAAAATAAGGACACTAATCACTTTCTGATACAATCACCTTGGAGTTAGGATTTCAACATATGAATTTTGGAGGAATGCAAATATTCAAACCATAGTAATCATGAATTGAGGAATTTCAGCAATCCTTATAATAAAAACATCTTATGCCTGGTTATTAAAATGTCACTTTAATTGCTGCTGTTCTCTGTAGTGTATGAACCAAGATTGGGATTGGTGGATATGGCAGAGCCATTACTCTCATTGAATGAATTGTTTACCTGAGGTTCCTGCTGTGATTGGATGCAGGAATGACTTTATTCCAAGATAATTCTTCACCAAGGTATAAAGTTAGGTATAGGTAAGGTAGTAATTAGATCAACTGGTGCAGACAATCCCAGTGTCTACAGCTGAAAATACTTAAGCTGTCCAGCAGCTCTTATATTGCAAGTGGACAGTCTGAATGCCAAACTGATGTCTCCTGAGGCTTAGCCTTCCAGAGAGTAACCAGGAATCATTCTTAAAACACATCATCCTTTAAACAAATAGTTGTGTTTCTGAATTACATCAATATGTCACTATATGTCTTAACCCATCCTCCTTAGAAACCAAAGTACACAATGATGTGGAGGAGGACTCTGGTAGAGGAAGGGAGGTCAGAGTAAGGAGGTTGCAACCCCACTCAGATGATGAGTGACAGGAGTGGATAGTGGCACGGACAAGAAAGATGAAAACACAAACTGAAAAGAAACTGCCAGAGAGATAGGAAGAGAACACAAAAAGAGTGGTATTGTAGAATGTAGGTGTCTTAGTCTATTTTGTGCTGCTGTAACAGAATACCACAGACTAGGTTATTTAGAAAGAAAAGAGATTTATTTTGCTCACTATTGTAGAGGCTGGGAAGTCCGAGAGTATAGTGCTAGCACCTGGTGAGGGTCATCCCAAAGAGGATGGACGGAAGGCAGAAGCAAGTGCATGAGGCAGAGAGAGGAAATTAGGCTGAACTCATTGTTTTATCAGAAAGCCAGTCCCAAGATAACTAACTCACTCCTACAATAATGGCATTAATCCATTCGTGAGGTTCTGGAAGCTGGGAAGCCCAAGATCAAGGCACCAGCAGTTTCAGTGTCTAACGAGGGCCTGCTTCCTCATAGACAGCCACCTTCTCACTCCACTCTTACATGGCAGAAGGAGTGAAGGGTGAAGCCTAACCATCTCTTAAAGGTCCCACCTCTTAATACTGTTACTTTTTTATGTGTAAGAGATCTGAATATATTAGTATGCTGAGGAAATAGACCCAAAGGAAGGAAAGAGATTGAAGGTAGAAAACAGGGAGAATTAATAAAAACAGAGAAGATGATGAGTGATTCAGGTGGAGGGATTACTCTTAAATAGGAGAAGTATGTGGCTTTCTCATACAGCAGAAAAAAGAAAGGTGCCAGGCCACAAGCATCTCTCACCTGGACTACTGACACTCTCCTTGTTGGTCTCCTGCTTTCTATTCTTGCCCTTACAATCCGTTCTCCATTCAGTGGCCTAAGTGAGCTCTCAGAATATGTATGGATTCATCTGCTGTTACTTAAATAGCCTCCAATGCTCCCTGTTATGTTCAGAATAAAATCTAAATTTCTTAGCTTTCCCTGTTGCTTGGCCTTTGACTACTTCTCCACCCTAATTCAACACTTCCCTCCCTCTTGCTCAATAACCCTAGTCTCACTGGCCTCCTTTCTGTTTTTCAAGCCAAGACCTTCCCTGCCTCAAGACTTTGCATTTGGTCCCTCAGCCTTGAACATTTTTCTTTCAGCTATTCTCTGAGCTCATAATTCAGACTTCAGCTTGACTTATCTCATGTAAGCTGCCCCTAGTTACTCATCATGATATTCTCTTCATAGCACATTTAGCACCCTGGATTCATTAAACTTATTTTTTTATTTGAGAATGTCTGTTTTTTTCCACTAGAATATAAGCCACAAGAGGTAGAATCTTCATTATTCTTTTTTTTTTTTTTTTACCAAATTATCCCTGATGGCTGGCATATTATGGGAATTCAGAAAATATGTTTTAAATGAATGAATAAGTTGGTAAAAGTGATGAAGGTAGCCAGGGGATTGATCCAAGATCAGGAGTTGCAGAACAAGTGCAATAGCAGGACCAAGAGCAAGAGAAGGGTTAAAGTGATTTAATAGGGAGCCTGGATAGACATTTGTAATATTTTTAGCTGCTCTTCTTATTTCCCATTGAATAGCACTACTGGGATACAGTGCTCCCTGACCCATCACAGAAGGGTCATCCCTCTACCTGTCACCTAACAGTCAAGGCATGGACATGTGACCTAGATTCACCCATTTGAATATTCCCGTCTGTCTGGGGCCAGTAGCATTGGCATCACCTGGGAGCCTTAGAAATGCAGAATCTCAGGGCCCACCGAGATGTACTGAATCTGCATTTTAACAAGATCCCACATGATTCATACATATTAAAGTGTGAAAAGCACTGGCTTAGAACACATTCATACTGGTGGAATTGAGAGTCCAGCAGTAGCAACAGCCAAAGGAGCAAGGAGACATATCCTTATCAATTAGTTCTTATGGCATGCTTAGTCATGGGTCCTGCTCCCCGCCCATCCTTGGTTCTACCAGGACTACTTGGTTCACCAGCTACTCACACAATGCTGTGTAATAAACAATCATAAAATCTCAAGGACCTATAATAAAAAGCATTGTTTCTTGCTTATACACAAGCCAGTTACCTGGGGATATCTGTTTCAGGCTGCAGTGTACAAATTGGCTAGGATATCTTTACCAGTCTTTCATTCTTCTGGGACTAGCAGGTTACCCAGAGAATGCTTCTTTTATGATGGAGGTCCAAAGCTCTCAGGATGAGTGGAAACACAAATGCTTCTAAGGCTACAGGCATACTGTCTCTTCCTCCAATGCTTCAATGTCCAAAGAAAATCATGTGGGAAAATCCAGCATCGTATTTCTCCCATGGAGGTTGATGGAGGATAGGAAATAAATATTTACCGAATGACAAACCTAACACATGCCACCCCTTTTCCAAGCCTGGTTTCCAACTTTCCCACTGGTTCTTGAAACCCCTCAATATGCTTCCAGTAGGTTCCTTTTCTGCTGAAGTTAGCCAGAGTCAGTTTCTATCACTTGAACTCTAAAACTCTCGCTGATTCACAGGAGGAAGTCCAGGTCAAATAAGGAAGGAGGTAGAGCCCAGGGATGCAGCTGTCAGACCTTGGAGAAGGAGCACTTGGAGACTAGAGTGCACAAGATGGCTCAAAAGGGATTAAGGATGAATGGAGAGATGGGAGATTTTGACCAGAAACTAAAATACTGGAGTTTAAATGGCTCAAGGTATGGCTACAGGAATGAGTTCCTGAAACAAGTCTCCCATGTGGTTATGAAAACTCTTAGGATTCTCCAGCAATACACACCAATAGGCTATATAGATGTAGATATATGGATTTATGAGAGGAGATTTACTAGAATTGGCTCATGAGCTTATGGAGGCTGATGAGTTCCACAACAGACCACCTCCATGTTGGAGACCCTGGGATGCTGGTAGCATAGCTCAGTCCAAGTCTAAAGGCCTCAGAACTAGGGAAGCTGATGGTATACCTCTCAGTCTGAGGTGTAAGATCTGAGAACCTGGAGGACTGCTGGTATAAGTTCTGGAGTCCAAAGCTGGAAAACCTGGAGTTCTGTTGTCCAAGGACAGGAGCGGAAGAGTGTATACCCGCTGAAGCAGATAGATAGATACATTAGCCTTTCCTCTGTTTTTGTTCTCTCAGGTCCCCCGGCCAATTAGATGGTACCTGCCCACATTGAAGGCAGATCTCCACCTAGTCTACTCAGATTCATACTCTAATCATTTCTGGAAACACCCTCACAGATATACCCCCAGAATAATGCTTTACCAATTTTCTAGGCATTCCTTAATCTACTCAAAGTGACACCTAAGATTAACCATCACAAATGGGGATGAAGTCTGGATTAGCGAGGTGAGTCAAATGCCACATTCTACCTGCACACTATACAGATAAGTGACAAGAGGGTCATATGGTTATCAAAGGGACAGGAGGGAAGAGAAGAGTAAGGTTTTTTGAGTGCTAGGCACTATAATGGGTATTTTACAATCATCGCTTCCTGTAATCTTGACAAAAATTGTCCAATGTATTTTACAGGTGAGGAAACCAAGGCTCATATTAAGTTAAATAATTTGCCCAGTGTAACCCAGCCAGTAAAAGGGGGTGCAGTGGAGATTCAAGTCCAGCCTGACTACAAAGTCTGTGCAGCTTCCCATTAAACCAAACAGTGTAGAAGCTTCCAGTGGGTCAGTGGGAGCAGGCAAGTCTAAGTGCTGGTTCTGTTGTATAATAAGTAGAACATGGGAACATGTCAACCTGCCCTGCAGAGGTTGCAAGGACAGTTGTGTCCTCAGGGGAAAGAGAGGTGTCAGTTAAGGATGGGATAAGGTGAAAGGCTATTTAGGCAGGGAAGTTTGCCTACAATTGCAACACAAGTTTGGAGAAAGGAGGTCAGCAGTGGAAGATGAGCCCAAGAGAAAGACTTGCAGAAATAGGGAGATGAAAGCCTTTCAGTGAGAGGAAATGGGGGGAGCTTGCATTTTTATATGGCTGAAGATGAAGAAATGTAGAGGCATGGAATTGGTTTGCATCAAAGACCAAGACCATTCTCTACAGGGGAGCAAGAGTGATCCCACTAAATCATTAAACAGAGCATTTCATGTCTCTATTCAAAATGCTACAAGGGTTTTCAACCACACTCACAATAAAATTCAGAGTCCTAACCAAAGCCTACAGGAGCCTACATGATCTGGCTTCCATTGAAATACCTCCAGATCTAAACTCCTACTCATGCCCCTTGCTTACCCCACTCCAGCCATGCTGGCTTCCTCACTGTTCCTCAACGTGCAGAGCAAACTGCCGCCTCAGGGCCCTTGCATGGGCTGTTCTCACTGCCTAGAACATATTCCAGAGTCTCTGCCCTACTAGAGGCCTTCTCTGATAACCCAACATACCCATGCCCTTGCCCATGTCTTATTTTTTCTTTGCACTTATTACCACCCAAATTTATTTATTTAGTTATTGTTTGTCTCACTTCCCACCATGAGAATGCAAGCTCCATGAGAAGCGATTTTTGTCTTTTTGTTTGATTGTTTGTTTGTTTATTTTAGAAAATGATGTTTATTTTCCACCAGCCTTATTTCCATGTTGCTTAAGAGCCTGTGGAAGAACAGCTTTAAGCCCATTCAGTGGTTGTTCCTATGTATTCAGTGGCCTGAGCAGTGGGAGCTGCAGACCAGTCTTCCGTGGCAGGCTAAGCACTCTAGTCTTCAGTAGGCAACTTCTGAATAGGCACAGAGGGCAGCTGCATGCCTTCAGACCAGCCTGCAACCTCAGGCTGAGCAGCAGTGAACTCAGGAGCTAGAGCAGTCCATTCAACCTGAAATTCCTCATTGGTCACAGCTTTTTCAGCAGCAGCCTGCTCTTCCTTCTCAAACTCTTCAGGATCTCTGTAGAAGTAAAGATCAGGCATGACCTTCCATGGGTGTTCATGGGAGATGGTGTCACGCATGCTCAGAACTTCCTGGGCCAGCCTCCACCACATCAGACCCACTGAGTGAACTCTCTTGTTGCAAGGAATGCCATTGTCTACATAGTGCAAAGAAGAATGTGTTACACAGAACAATGATAGGCAGGTTAACATAAGATGCCTCTGAGAGGCTGGTGGTCAGCCCTAGGATCAGTAAACACCCGAAGATGTGGCTCCCGGAAGGCTGCCAGTGGATCTGGTTAGTGAAGGTTTCAGAAATGAAGTGGCCGGCAATTGGAATGGCTCCCGTGGCAGCAGCAAACTTCAGGATGGCCTGCTGGCCAGGATTCCTGGAGGATATGACACTGACATCAGTAGGGTTTTCAATGGCATGAGCTGCCAGCAGAAGCCTCTCCCAGGTCCTCTTCAGATTTATGATGTAGATGCCATCACTTTTCCTTTTATAGATGTGCTGTTCCATTTGGAAGTCAAGGTTGGTGCCACCTAAATGGGTTCCTGCTGCAAGGAACTTGATGACATCCTCCTCTTTCATTTGCAGAACATTAAGGACTCCAGACATTGTGAACATTTTCCTTTAAGTTATGATGGCAATCCAGAACAACACTGTATGGACCCCTCTCTAGGTAGTGTGAAAAGGGATTTGGTGTGTTTTTTGTATTACTGCATGCCTAGTCCCTAAAAAAGCCTCTGGCATATAAGGAGGTGCTTGGTTAACATTGTCGAAAGAAATAAATGGACTTCAAATTGAACTGGCTGATCAAAAGATTCTGAATAGAACACTGGAATAAATGTGGTTTCACTGGAGCTGATATAGATGTCTGCCTATTGGAGAACTTTTAATTTCCTCTCCCAGTTGGCTTCTGGGGGCATTAGGTGGGCAGAAAGTGAAGGGCATTTCCAGGTGCTTGAGTGGGTGGCAGGGAAACTGATTATAACCTGCCATTGACTCCTGGTGGCAAAGTCTTCCTTAGGATGAGTCATTTCCACTAAGGGCTAAGTTGATCCAATAATAGCTTCATTTTTATAATGATTTTATAATCAGAAAAAATTATAAAAGTTAATATATGGCATATGTAGAGAGAAATCTTGTGAGTTTTTTTGTTGGTTGGTTTGTTTGTTTTTTGAGATAGAGTCTCACTCTTATCTCCCAGGTTGGAGTGCAGTGGCACTATCCCAGCTCACTACAACCTCTGCCTCCCAGGTTCAAGTGATTCTCCTGCCTCAGCCTCCCAAGTAGCTGGGATTACAGGCACCTGCCACCACTCCCAGCTAATTTTTGTATTTTTAGTACAGACGGGGTTTCACCATGTTAGCCAGGCTGGTCTCGAACTCCCAACCTCAGGTGATCCGCCCGCCTCAGCCTCCCAAAGTGCTGGGATTACAGGTGTGAGCCAGGGATGTTGTTTTATATATCTATATGTGTATGTATATATTTGTGTATGTATAGCTAGATAGGCAGCTAGATAGACGTAATATATTTAGTATACAATGAACCAGTGAGCACAACATGAAATATGCAATAAGTTCCCATTCCTGTGAGTCCAAAATTGCTGTCTCATCCATGGTGTAATGGGACCCCATGATCTCAGCTCACTTATCTTCTCAAGGCGTTGTTGCTATCATCACTGGTTCACAGCTGGATGCTGTTGTCAGCAATTGTTATGTAACAGAGGTGGTAGTGAGCTCAAATTTAGTGAAAGGAAGTTCATAATTTTTAGTTCATATATAGTATCCATCCCTGCCACCAGGGCCACTTTGTTAAGGTGCCCATTTGAGCAGGCTCTGGGGTGTATTGTAGGCAACTGCTCCCAAGTTCCCTAGAAATTTTGGAATTTCTCCACCGGGTTCCATGAGCTATTCATTTCCTTGCCCCAGTTAGAAATTGGAGTGTAATTGCCTCTTGTCTTATCTTGGCCTGATAATCAATTCAAAATACACCATATTTCTTTGAGGGCCTTTTGCTTAGAACACACTCTCAGATACCAATTTCTGTTCCAATTAGTGTTCTTTGGTTGTAGGCAATAGAATTACTCCTCTGGTCAACTTAATTTTTTAAAAAATTTATTGGAAAGATGTACTCTAGCTCCCATGAGTACCCAGTAATCTCACAGAGTTGTGAAAGCTAATAAATTGTTGTTTTAACACATTAAATTTTCAGGTGGTTTGTTATACATCATCAGATAACAAAAACATCTGCCTTATATAAAATAGTGGAAGAAAGATACAAGGAATATTAAAATGCATAATTGAAAATAAATATTTAATATATATGTGTAATTACATATGCATATGCATAATTTGAGGAATCATAAGATAGCTCCTAAAGTCCTCATTTCTGCAGCTAGGCACAAGTTACAGAACATTACTGAAATGCTGTGATGTCAACATCATGTTCTCTTTTTCTCAGTCTGTGTCTCAGCCAGTTGAGCCATTTTATCCATGGGGTGATCCAAACCATAGGGGTACTGTAGCCTCCCACTAGATTTTATTACTGGATATTCCATTCTTACGGAGTGTTCTAGAGGCTCACCTGTGTTCAGATATATTTTTTCCTCACTCAGTTTTGTGGCAGTATTCCTATTTCCCTTTGATTATCTGGATCAATTACCCCAGCCAAATGGTAATCCCCTTTTGGGCCTGTTAATCCAGGTGCATGAGGAATACAAAATGATCAGGTGACAGTTTCAGTTTCCCATTCAGTGGAGCCCTTGCTTTGTCCCATGGTGGAAACATTAATTCTTTGGGTACAGAAACCTCTAAATCAATACAGCCAAAAATTGAAAGAACAGGAAGCAAACATTTGGTAAGTTGTCCTAGTCCATTTTTGCTGCTATAGCAGAATACCACATACAGGATAATTTATAAGGAAGAGAAATTTATTTGACTCATGGTTCTGGAGGCTGGGAAGTCCAAGAGCAAGGTGCCAGCATCTGGTGAGGGTCATCCTATGCTGGAAGGCATCATATGATGAGGAGACATGCATGCAAGAGGCAGAGAGGGATGGAGGCTGAACTTCATGTTTTTATTGGGAGCCCACTCTCATGATAATTAACCCTCTCCTGCAATAACAGCATTAATCCCTTAATGAGGGTAGAGCTTTCGTGGACTAATTGCCTCTTAAAGGCAACTGCCTAAATCACCTCTTTAATTGCTAAAACATATTTAACAATTAGATTTCCAGCTTGTGAACTTTTGGGGGACACATTTGAACCATAGCATGGGTCATTAGACATAATATTTTAAAATAACACTACCACTTTCACCCCCTTGGTTCCCAGATCCATGAGTTCTGACTGTAGGAGAAACAGCACCATATATTATTAATAGTTACTTGTTCAGACTTTTGAAGCACCCACTCCCCTCGCCTAACTTCCCCAGTTGTCTTCCAGCTGTCTCAGTACCTGAGTTTATTAGGCCATTTAACCATTCTATATACTCAGTTGTTTCTGGGTAATGAGGCACGTGATAAGATCAGCAATTTCTGCATGGGCCAGCCCATTGCCTTGCTTCTTTCTTAGCCAGAAACAATGTTGTACAGAATACCATGGCCAGGAATAAGGTATCCAGTAATTTCAAGGATGGCATTTTTAACAGAAGCATGTTCGTTAAGCAAGCAAGACAAATACATATTTAGAATAAATGTCTATTCTAGTATGGGCAATACATTGACAGGGATCCAATAAAATCAACCTGCCACCAGGTGGCTGGCTGATCTTCTTAGATTATGATACTATATTAGGTGCTTACCATTGGATTTTGCTGCTGAAAGATTGGGTGCTCAGCAAGTGGAAGCTAGGTCGGCCTTGATGATGAGAGACCATAGAATTGAGCACAAGCACAGCCTCTATCTCTGCTGTCATAGCCACTTAGTTCATAAACTCATTGTGCAAGCTGGGCAAAAAGGCTGACTGAAACCCAGAGCAGCTAATCTTGTCTGCTCAATTATTGAGAGTCTCATCCCCTGTGGAGGTTTTCTGGTGAGCATTCATGTTTTACACAAATATCCTCACATTCTGAAACCACACCTCTTTCTCAGACTCCCTTGTCCCCTGCCCTCTGGAGCTGTTTCTCCCAAGTCTCTTGTCTGGCTGGCCAGACAATTAATCACTACTTATTAACTGCTGTACATTCATACTTCTCCTTCCAGGCAAAGAGGAAATAGAATGTACTAATATAAGTTCTGCACATTGGGCAGATTTCTCTTCACCACTGTCTTGAAGGCCCACTCTGAGCAGGGCTCTAATGCTGCTGATTTCATTTCTCGCTACTGACAGAATATTGTCTGGTGCCAGCTATAAACTAGGCTAAGGGTTTTCCTCTTCAGTCAGCTGGCCACAAGGAACAACCCAAGAGTCCAAAGGTGTGGCTTGAGGGATAGGTGGATATGCAATAGAAGTAGAGAACTAGGTTAGTTACTCTGAAATGCATCCAAAAAGCAAGATGAATTTGTGGATACATACAGGAATGAACAGATAATGTGCAAAAATATATATATATATAAGAATATGGGCCAGGCACAGTGACTCACACCTGTAATCAGGAGGATCACCTGAGGTCAGGAGTTTGAGACCAGCCTGGCCAACATCTCTACTAAAAATACAAAAAATTAGATGGGCGTGGTGGCGAACACCTGTAATCCCAGGTATTTGGGAGGCTGAGACAAGAGAATCACTTGAACCCAGGAGGCAGAGGTTGCAGTGAGCCGAGATCGTGCTATTGCACTCCAGCCTCGGCAACAGAGCAAGACTTCATCTCTCTCTCTCTCTCTCTCTCTCTCTCTCTCTCTCTCTCTCTCTCTCTCTATATATATATATATATATATATATATGAATATGTTAATGGTAGAATCTACGTGGTAGGTATATGGATGCTCACTGGACAAGTCTTTTGTTCTGTATGTTTAAAAATTTCTATAGAATGTCAAAAATAAGAGCACTGTAAATACTGAACAACCCCTATTCATTCAACTGAATTGTGCCTCTTAGAGCTGTTCAAGCCCAATTTCATACATACTACTACTGCTTGATGATGAACTCCTGCTAGGCATACTCTATGTCAAGGCATGGTAAATCAGATAATACCCAGTTTATGCTGATAATTCAGATCTCATGGTCATTTAGTGTACTATATTCAGGTGCTCAGTCTCTATCAGCCTCTAGCAAGCCACAGCCTCGCAAGGAGAATAGTGATTTTCCTAATAGAATTTTATTTTGCTCCAAAATCCTAAGGGGCTATGCTGTGATTCTTCTATCTAGGCTTTTTGCAACCTTTATACATCACCCCAATCTGCCACAAATACTTCGAGGACTATTTCATACTTTGGATCATAAAAGCTGGGTGCCAAGCAGCTTCAACAAGCCAGAATTTCTCTTATTCTGCAGTTCATTGAAGTCTGGCCCCCTTACAGTTTACTTAGTCAACGGGCTAAAGTAAAGGTTACTCAGTAAATGCACCATATGTTGCCTCAAAAATCCAGAATAATCTGCCATGTGTTGTACCTTTTTCTTAAAGGTAGGAATGCAGGGTGTTTTTCATTTTACAACTTGTTTTTCATTTTGAAGGTGTCAGCTAATGTTCCCCAGGACATTAGATTCCCAAACATTTCCATGAGGGAACACATTGGAATTCTTGTGGGATTTCACAACCACCTTTCAGCAGGCATGTATCTCATCAGGGAATTGAGAATACCTACTATTTCCTGCTCTCAGTTCCTATCAGAATGAATGTCATCAATATATTGGCTCAAAGTAATATCCAGTAAGACAGTGAGACACTCATGCCCATAGGGACCAAAGTATGACCACCTTAAGCCAAGAAAATAGAGATAGATAAGTGACCCTTACAGGTAAAAGCAATTTCCTCTACTATTATCTGCTTATTAGGAGATAGAAAAAAAGACAATTTCACCTTCCAGGTATGAGGCTCTGGGTTAATTTTTCTCCAGTAAAGAGAATCAGCAACTCTAATTGAAATTACTACCTGATTAAGCTTATAGTAATCCAATAAAATTCTCAAAGACACACACCAAACAGGTGAGTGAAATGGAGATGTGGTAAGAATCACTACTTATAAGTATTTTAAGTGTTTGATGGTACCTCATCACCATAATTCCAAAGGGATATGATATTGTCTTTAGTTTATAACTTTGGTAGGGAGAGGAATCTCCATGTACTTACACTTGGCCCTTTCTACCATAATAGACATGATTCCATGGGTCAGAGAACAATCTTTATTTTTCTACCAGTAGCTGAATATTTCTACTTCCACTATGAACTCCAGAACTAGGAAAATAAACACGGTATGGATATAAGATTCACTGGGCCACTGTGAGAAGAATGCTAGCCCAAAATTCATCACTTAGCTCTCATAAATCCCACCCTGACTGGGGGACGACAGTGGAATTCAGTTTTCTCAGGGATTAAGCTTGCTTTGGACCCAGTAGCTAATCATTCCTGAGAGATCTGAATGTTTGTCTTCCCTGGGGCTCAGTTTCCATGGTAAATAGGCCTGAGTCTTCTTGGGAAACAGGAGGAATAAGAGTTATATATATCTAAGTTACCACAGGGTTCCTCCCCAGGGTTCCTGATCTCTCCTTCATTCAAGGGGTGCTGGGTCATTGAACTGACTCAGAAATGGAAAAAGGGTGAGAGGACATGACTCTTCATTGGGATAGCTTAAGTCAGGACTCTTTCCATACACGTAACAAATTTTTTTCTTCTAGTTTTACAGTTGAGTAGAATCTTAGTGGTCTGTCTATGTATTTTGGCCCTGAGTACCTCAGGTTAGCCACCATCAAAGTTTCCTATGGGTCAGACAATTCTGAGAACCACTCTATCACTGATACCTATTGTGTAGCCATGCTGCCTTTCTCCACTGGTTAAGTGCTACTTCATGGTCTCCGCCACTGTGGGATAGGATCATTTCACCAAAATCCAGGTATACATTTCTATAGCAAAATCCCTCATCCAAATTTTCCTTCTCCATTTCCACTTTTTTACATTTGTACTTTTCCATGTCATGGTGAAAGAAATATTCTCTGAGCCTTTTTGGGTAATTTAATTTGGAAGGGAGTGAGTGAATGACAAATCCACATTTGATAAATCCACTCCAAAATTTCAAAAACATGTCTTTTGATTTCCTTTTTTTTTTTTTTTCGAGACAGAGTTATGTTCTTGTTGCCCACACTGGAGTGCAGTGGCTCGATCTCAGCTCACTGCAACCTCTGCCTCCTGAGTTCAAGCGATTCTCCGGTCTCAGCCTCCTGAGTAGCTGGGATTACAGGCACCAGCCACCATGCCCAGCTAATTTTTTGTATTTTTAGTAGAGACAGGGTTTCACGATGTTGGCCAGGCTGGTCTCAGACTCCTGACCTCAGGTGATCCACCTGCCTCGGCCTCCCAAAGTGCTAGGATTACAGGCGTAAGCCACCACACCCAGCTGATTTCTTTATATCATACTTTGATGTGTTTCTGGTATGAGTTTCTGGAATCTCAATTTCCCATCACATAGGCCACACCAAGTTTTAATCAAACTAAAGAAGCAATTAGGTCCTCTAAAATTAAGTAAATTCAGGCCAATGTAAAAGTGTGTCCCTAATCTCTTAGACTCCATGTCCATATATATATTACCCATGTCTTGTTGAAATAAATTAGCAAAACTTTGCAATTATTTTGCTAAGGTTTAACTTTGTGATTGGTCCCCTGGGACACAGGACAATATGACTGCTTGTATGTTTCAGTACAATGAGCAGGGACAGGAGGGGGATAATGAGAATTGTCATCTGCTGACAAGAAAACTATCTTAGGTGAGATCACAAGAAGGGCTTAAAGTAGGACAGGAACAGGCATATAAGATGGGGTAGGGTAAGGGTGAGAGGGCTTCTGCTATCAAGAGAAACTCACTGGGGTTTGAGGTACTTGGTATCCTCAGATCTTCCCAAATTTCCCCAAATTCTCATGGTGCCATCCTTTCCCAATTGATGCCCTAAGTTTTTACCTAAAAGATCAGGGAGGACTATGAGTTCAACCTATATTAATCCAGCAAGCCAGTTAACCTCAGTCATGTAGGACTACATGGAGAGATTATTTCAGGGCAGTCATAGGAATTCCCTGGTTCTCTAACCATGTCTTCAGGCAAGAATTTAAAACCCTGAAGCTTTAATTTTCTTTCCTTAAGCAGTTAGAAATAGCCCACCCAAGTCACAACCTTTATATTCCTTATGGCCTTCACATCATCTGTCACAGCAGCTACTTTGACTGCCAAGGCATTATCTTCAATATGTACTTCACTCCAGGTATCCACAGATGATAGTTGAAGTAATCGTCCACCACTGTGTACCATGCACTGCCAGCAACCATTCTCTGATGTCAAACAGATTGTCACAGCTTTCAATTGCAACGAAGGCAGATAACCAATCCAACCTCCCCATTTCACTGAAGTACTGTTTACTGCAATCACAGCTGGTAGGGGTTAAGGGCACTTGTTTTAGCCAACAGAATCTACTGTAACATGTTTTAATGAACAGGATTTGTTACAGAATATTATCTTAATAATTTCCAGGCAATTTTGGGTGATGATGCAGCCAGGAGAAACACCCAATCCCACCATGGAGGGTCCCACACCACTACTTTTTACAGACATGAATGAGATTAAGGACAAGACAGTAGGGAGAAACTTCACTACACCTTCTGTGCAAAAAAGTCAAATGCTTCAGTGACTTATCACATAACTCACTTCTAGCAACTAAGTCCTGCACAAGTGCTATTTACTTGGCTGAACTAATTGGAGTCTGGGGTGTTGCTTTTTTAGCTTTACGCCCACTCTTCTTTGGGAAAGTGTGCTTTAAGGGGGATGCCATGGATGTTGAATGCCCCAATCTCCATTCCTGCAACAATCAGAAACACATTTTTCTCACTAAATATACTCCCAGAAGTCTCTCTCACAGAAACAAAAGCAATCACTTATAAGGATCTGTATAAGGGTGTTTATTACAGATGCATTTGTAGTGGCAAAAAATCTACAAAGACCAACACTAAGAACATGGTTGAACTAATCACAGATCATGCACATCTCTGAATATTATGAAAAAGAGGGAAATAGAGTTCTATGAGTTGGAGGGATTTCCGCAGGATGTTGTTGACAGAGAAAATCAAGATGAAGAAAAGTGTATACTATGTGATCTTTTGTTTAAAAAGAAAAAAAAAAAGAAAGAAGAGAAAAGAAAAAACAGGCCGGGCATGGTGGCTCATGCCTGTAATCCTAGCACTTTGGGAGGCCAAGGCGGACGGATCACCTGAGGTCAGGAGTCTGAGACCAGCCTGGCCAACATGATGAAACCCCATCTCTACTAAAAATACAAAAATTAGCTGGGCATGGTGATGCACACCTGTAGTCCCAGCTACTTGGGTGGCTGAGGCAGGAGAAACACTTGAACCCGGAGATGGAGGTTGCAGTGAGCTGAGAGTGCGCCACTGCACTCTAGCCTGGCCAACAGAGTGAGACTCTGTCCCCCAAAATTAAAATAATAATAATAATAATAAATTTAAAAAAAATTAAAAAACAGAAAACCATATGTAATGCTTATAGGCATGTATGATTAAATACATGTAATAAAAATTATAGAAAAATGCACACTAGGTTTAGAACATGGATTATCTGAGGAGATACAGGGTGAAATATGTGTAAGGGAAGCGAGAAGTACACCAAGGCGGTAAAAGAAAGGAAAGAAGATTACATTTGAAAATTATGTGGCATATTCTGGGAAAGTGGCAACAGCAGCAACCACATAGTTTTTCAATCTCTGCAAATCTCTACATAAAAACAGCAGAACTAGATTGCAAAACCAAAGCACATGGAAAATATTTACAACTAGTGTTGCCAGATGTAGCAAAGAAAAATACAGGATGTTCAGTTAAGTGCGAATTTTAAATAAACACTAAATAATTTTTTAGTGGATGTATGTCTCAGATATTACATGGAAATAGAAACGCTAGACCTAAATGGAGAGGGGAATGGAGCCAGAAAATCCCAGAAAGCAAACCACCATATTTTTGAACACTACACAAAAGCAACAGAAGAGGGAGCTCTGTGAAATTAGAAAAGCTCTGTGGAATTCCACCTTATTTTTTCAAAGTACAGGGAAACAGATTTCACACAAAAACAAAAACACAGTAGTATCAAGGTCAAATCACATGCAAAATTATAATAAGAAAAAAGAAAATGGGAAGCTAAATAACATCCCAAGGATAATGAAAGTATGCCAAAAAGACATGCCCACAAAAGAAAGAAAAATTGTAGCCTATTATTTCAAGATGAGCTAAGAGACATTAACAACAACCTAACTCAGAATCAGGAAGCCTCAGAAACAAGGTGACACAGCTCAAGAAAGAATAAGAATAAGAAGAGGAGAAAATCAGTTCATAAATGAATACTAAACCAGAAAGAATACAAGCAAGTAAATGCAACAAGTACCTGTAGAGAAATTTCTAGAAAGTGAAAAAGAGGAAAACTTTTTAAATCAAAAAGAAATGAAGAGAGATCAAAAGGAAAAGAGAAAGGTAAAGTAAATTAAACACACAGGTAATAGAAATTCCTATAAAAGAAAACCAAAGCAAGGGCATAGGACAAATATTAAACTGTATACATTTACTTTAAAAAAAAAAAACACTTTCCTGAAAATAAAAAAGATTCTTAATTGCATATTGAAAGAGCACACCACATAGCTGATAGTATTTTCCCAGAACAGTCAACACCACAGTATATTGCAATTTTAAATCCTACTGGAAACAATATCTGTGCACTTAAATATGTATGCTTATGTGTTTGCACCACATATGATAAAAAAAGTTTTCAAATACAATATTATGTAAAGAAGATAGAGAAACTAAAATTGATTGGTTACAAAATAAAATGTTATTGCTCTATTTATTCTGTGGGATGAAAATTAAGATCTTTCAAACATAGCTTAATCTCTACTTTTAGGAAAATATGAAATTACAAAAGTGGGATTTTACTTGTAAGATTTTCCTTTGCTTTGCTCTTTCTATTTGCAGCATCCACATAAATTCCCACAAGGATAACTGGCTTGAAATTTTAAACATTTATTTTCTTTTATAGAATTTTAGGTATTATAACACTTGCAAATTTAATCCAAGCATATGTTTTGTTGTTGTTTTGTTTGTTTTTTGACGCAGAGTCTCACTCTGTCACCCAGGCAGGAGTGCAGTGGCTCACTGCCACCTCCGCCTCCCAGATTCAAGAGATTCTCCTGCCTCAGCCTCCCAAGTAGCTGGGATTACAGGCGCGTGCCACCACACCCGGCTAATTTTTGTATTTTTAGTGGAGACAGGGTTTCACCATGTAGGCCAGGCTGGTCTTGAACTCCTGACTTCAGGTTATCCACCTGCCTCAGCCTCCCAAAGTGCTGGGATTACAGGCGTGAACCACCGCTCCCGGCCGCATATGTTTTTTAAACGAGGAAATTGACACTTGGGAAGTTTGTGATTTGAAAAATAAAAAGTTTTCCTGGATGGGTTTCACCAAACCTGTAATACCAGAACTTTGGGAGGCTCACACCTGTAATCCAAGCACTCTGGGAGGCCAAGGCAGGTGGATCACTTGAGCCCAGCCTGGCCAATAGAGTGAAACCCGGTCTCTACCAACAAGAAAATACAAAAATTAGCCAAGTGTAGTGGTGCATGACTGTGGTCCCAGCTACTCGGAAGGCTGAGGCATGAGAATTGCTTGAGCCTGGGAGGCAGAGGTTGCAGTGAGCCTAGATCACGAAACTGCCCTCCAGCCTGAGTGGCAGAGCGAGACTCTGTTTCCTGCCCCCCCGACTCCCAAAAAAAAAGTATTAAAAAAAGTTTCCTGTCTGAAAATAAATAAATAGACTTCAGAAAAAAGGGGCCGGGCACAGTGGCTTACGCCTGTAATCCCAGCACTTTGGGAGGCCGAGGCAGGCGGATCACCTGAGGTCAAGAGTTCGAGACAAACCTGGCCAATATGGAGAAACCCGGTCTCTACTAAACACAAAAATTAGCCAGGCGTGGTGGCGGGCGCTTGTAATCCCAGCTACTCAGGAGGCTGAGGCAGGAGAATCGCTTGAACCCCACAGGCAGAGGTTGCAGTGAGCCAAGATCGCGCCACTGCACTCCAGCCTGAGCGACAAAAGTGAAACTCTGTCTACAAAAAAAAAGAAAAGAAAAAGAAAAGAAAGAAAGAAACATTTTCTGGGCACCTAGAAAAAGGCTCATTTGACTCTTAGCGAATAGAAAATTGGATTATCATCAGAATTTTTGACAACAATGCATAATGCCAAAGAAAATAAAAAGAACTAACATATTTAAGACTTTCAAGGAAAGACACAATAATTTTATATCCAGCAAAAATAATTCGCAAGTATAAAGGATATAAACTGTTATCAACATGTAAAAACTCGGGAATATTGTTTTCATGAGCCTTCCTGAGAAATTTATCACAGAATTTCCAACCAGCAAAATAACCAGACTGACATAAATATATCAATATAAGGATACCTGATGGGCATTCTTTTTTTTTTTTTTTTTTTTGAGACATAGTCTCTATTGCCCAGGCTGGACTGCAGTGGCACAATCTCAGCTCACTGCACTGCAACCTCTGCCTCCTGGGTTCAAGCAATTCTTCTGCCTCAGGCTCCCGAGTAGCTGGGATTACAGCATGCGCCACCACGCCCAGCTAATTTTTGTATTTTTAGTAGAGATGGGGTTTCACCATGTTGGCCAGGCTGGTTTCGAACTCCTGACCTCAAATGATCCATCTGCCTCATCCTCCCAAGGTGCTGGGATTACAGGCATGAGCCACCGCACCTGGCCCATTCAATTATAATTACCTGTAGAACTACAAATAAATAAGGGCTAAGAGACAAAAAAAATTGAATATATATATATATATATGACTATGTGGTCTGACAAGACAAATGTAATACAACTTTTTAAAATTTTTTACTTTTTAAACACAGCTTTACTGATATATATTCCACATCATATAGTTTACCCATTTGAAGCATACAATTTAGTGGGTTCTCATATATTTAGAGAGTTGTGCATTAATCACTACAATCAATTTGAAAACATTTTCATGACCCCCAAAAGAAATCCCACACCCCCTAAACCCTTCACCCTTGCCCCCAGCCCTATGTAATCACTACTTTACTTTCTGTCTCTGTAGATTTGCCTACTGTGGATATTTCGTACAAAGGAAATCATATATTATGTGTTTTCTTTGTGGCTGGCTGCTTTCACTTAGCATAATGTTTTCAATATTTATTCATGTTGTAGCATGTATCAGCATTTCACTTTGTTTTTGTGGTTGGACAATATCCCATCATATGGATATACAGTGTTTATTGTTTATCCATTCATCAGTAGATGGGCATTTGGGTTTTTTCTACCTTTTGGCTATTGCAAATCACGCTGCTATAAACGTTTGTATACAAGTTTTTGTGTAGACACAAACATTTCATTTCTCTTGGGTAGATACCTAGGAGTGAAATTGCTGGATTGTAGGGTAAGTCTGTTTAACTTTTTGAAGAACTGCCAGACTATTTTTCAAAGCAGCTGCACCATTTAACATTCCCACCAGCACTGTGTGAAGTTTCCAATTTCTCTACATCCTTTTTTATTAGAGCCATCCTAGTAGGTGTGAAATAGCATCTCATTGTGGTTTTCATTTACATTTCTCTATTGGCTAATGATGTTGAACATTTTTATGTACTTACTGTCCTTTGTACACTTTCTTTCTTTCTCTCTTTCTTCCTTCCTTCCTTCCTTCCTTCCTTCCTTTCTTTCTTTTTCTTTTTTTTGAGATGAAGTCTTGCTCTGTTGCCCAGGCTGGAATGCAGTGGCGTGATCTTGACTCACTGCAACCTCTGCCTCCTGGGTTCAAGCAATTCTCCTGCCTCAGCCTCCCAAGTAGCTGAGATTACAGGCGCACACCACCATGACTGGCTACTTTTTATGTTTTTTTAGTAGAGATGGGGTTTCATCATGTTGGCCAGGCTGGTCTCAAACTCCTGACCTCAGGTGATCCACCTGCCTCGGCCTCCCAAAGTGCTGGGATTACAGGCGTGAGCCACTGCGCCTGGCTCTTTGTACATTTTCTTTCAAGAAATGTCTATTCAGATTTTTTGCCCATTTTTAAATTGGATTATTGTCTTTTATTATTGAGGTGTAATCGTTTCCTATATATTCTAGATATAAGTCCTTTATTAGAGGGATGACTTGCAAATATTTTTCCCATTCTGTGAGTTGCCATTTCATTTTGTTGATGGATGGTATCCTTTGAAGCATGAAAGTTTTTAATTTTAACTTTGCCCAGTTTGTCTATTTTTTCTTTTCTTGCTTGTGCTTTTGATGTCATATCTAAGAAACTGCTGCCTAATCTAAGGTCAAAAAGATTTGCACCTATGTGTTCTTTTAAGAGTTTTATTGTTTTAGCTCTTACATTTTTGTTTTTGATCCATGCTGAGCTAATTTTTGTCTAGGGTGTGAGGTAGGGATCCAACTGCATTCTTTTGCATGTGGGTATCTAGTTGTCCCAATAATACAACTATTTTTAAATGATGAGAGAGAACAGAGAAAATATATGCAAAGTTTAAAATGTTTTCAATAATTATGTCAGTGGGAGTATTAGCACTGTTATTCTGATACTCTTGGGTGGGTAATATGGGATAAAACAAATACACAATTACAACATATTCTAATTCTATCATCCTCAAGAACAAGTATTCTCAGTAGAAAAGAAAGAATACACAGGTATAATAGAGAAGGGGTTAAACAAAAGTCCTATTGATACAAAAACTATCTAACTGTAAATATTAAACTCATGGATTATTTCACTTTGTCCACTAAAAAAAGCATAAAGACAATAACTAATGATGTACCATTGAACATCTCTTAGCACCCAGATTGGGGCCTTGAAGTATTGTTTCTCACTAAAAGAAACCAGGACTTCTCAAGAAATGGGCGTGATACTATGATTTTATGTATATATATATAAAATCTATGTTTTCGTCCACAGTTCCTGTCTCATAACTCCCATAGCCCTTGTTACAGTCTTTTGTTATAATGTTGGGGTGCTTTAGGCCTCAGGAGCAGGCCTCAGGAAACAGAATCTCTCTCACCTTGTCCTGTCCTCCTTTTACCTGCCCAGTCAGGACTCTAATCTGATTAAGGGTCAAAAGGCCCTCAATCCAGAGAGGGTTTCGTCCCATACTTTACCAAGAGGCCAAGAAGAATCCGAACAAACAGACCTTACTGGATTTCCCCACTCAGTCTATTAGTATGAGATCATATCCTTTTTGTCCAATCACATTTCCACACAGTTGTCAATGTAATGAAGCCTCCATAAAAACCCAAAAGGAGAGGATTCAGAGAGCTTCTGGACAGCTGAACAAGTGGAGGTTCCTGGAGGGTGGCATGGCCAGGAAGGGCCTGGAAGCTCTACAACCCTTCAACCATACCTTGCCCTGCAAATCTCTTCATATGCTTCCTTTGTAATATCCTTTATAATAAACTGGTAAATGTGTTTCCCTGAGTTCTGTGAGCCACTCCAGCAAGTTAATCAAGCCCAAAGAGGGGGTCATGGGAACCCCAACTTGAAGCTGGTCAGTCAGAACTTTCAGAGGCCCAAACTTGCAACTAGTGTCTGAAGGAGGGGGCAATCTTGGGGTCTGAGCCCTCGACCTGTGGAATCCGATGTTATCTGCAGGTACATAGAGTCGGAGTTGAATTGGAAGACACCCAGCTGGTGTTCACTGCTTGTAGTTGGGGGAAAACCCCCATATATTTGGTCACAGAAGTCTTCTGTGTTGATTGTTGTGGTGTGAGAGCAGAGGAAAAGCATGGTTTAAGAGTTTACCCAAAGCAATAGTTGATCCCAAGTTTGGGGCAGGAAAAATACAAGATGAACCTGGAGTATCGTGTAATACCAGATTGCAAGCAAGCCATCAAAGACTACTAGAGTTATGTCAAAAGGACTCAGAGGCCAACCTGAGGAGGCTCCCATTGGCCATAGGTCAACAATTTGTTATTTGAATTCTCTTGGTGCAGTTCAGTGTGTTTCCCTAAACTCTGTATTTCCTGCAAATAGCTGATCCAGAGGTGAATTAGACATAGGTTCAATCCCTATGGCAAAACTATGGGTATTGTATGACAGGACTATAGTAGGCACACATTGTCCAGTTGTCACTGAAAAGCTTCAATAATTATAATAGCTGTAATAGCTTGAAACTCATCAAATGTGTCTAAATCTAAGATCAAAGTATCTGATATTTGTTTGAAAAAAGGAATTAGTCACCTTCAAAGGATGATAGGGAACCAATATTTTGCCTTGAAAACTGGTAAATATCTCATTGTGGTTTTGATTTGCATTTCTCTGATGGCCAGTGATGATGAGCATTTTTTCATGTGTCTGTTGGCTGCATAAATGTCTTCTTTTGAGAAGTGTCTGTTCATATCCTTTGCCCACTTTTTGATGGGGTTGTTTGTTTTTTTCTTGTAAATTTGTTTGAGTTCTTTGTAGATGAGTAGATTGCAAAAATTTTCCCCATTCTGTAGGTTGCCTGTTCACTCTGATGGTAGTTTCTTTTGCTGTGCAGAAGCTCTTTAGTTTAATTAGATCCCATTTGTCAATTTTGGCTTTTGTTGCCATTGCTTTTTGTGTTTTAGACATGAAGTTCTTGCCCATGCCTATGTCATCATTCTCAGCAAACTATTGCAAGGACAAAAAGCCAAACACCGCATGTTCTCACTCATAGGTGGGAATTGAACAATGAGAACACTTGGACACAGGAAGGGGAACATCACACACCGGGGCCTGTTGTGGGGTGCGGGGAGCGGGGAGGGAGAGCATTAGGAGATATACCTAATGTAAATGATGAGTTAATGGGTGCAGCACACCAACATGGCACATGTATACATATGTAACAAACCTGCACGTTGTGCACCTGTACCCTAGAACTTAAAGTATAATAAAATATATATATATATAAAAAAAAAGAAAACTGGTAAATAAAAGGAATAAATAGAACATTTATCCTGCTCTTTCAGTCCACTTGGGCTGCTATAACAAGACACTATAAACTGGGTGGCTAATAAACAATAGAAGGCCAGGCGCAGTAGCTCACGCCTGTAATCTCAACATTTTGGGAGGCCGAGGCAGGAGGATCGCTTGAGGCCAGAAGTTTGAGACCAACCTGGACAACCTGGTGAGACCCTATCTCTACAAACAAAGAAAACATTAGCTGAGAATGGTGGCCTCGGCCTGTAGTGCCAGCTACTTGGGAGGCTGAGGTGGGAGGATCACTTGAGCCCAGGAGTTCCAGGCTACAGTGAGCTATGGTTGTGCCACTGCACTTCAGCCTGGATGACAGAACGAGACTCTGTCTCTAAAAAATAAATAGGTCAGGCGTGGTGGCTCAGGTCTGCAATCCCAGCACTTTGGGAGGCTGAGGTGGGCAGATCACGAGGTCAGGAGTTCGAGACCAGCCTGGCCAACATGGTGAAACCCCATCTCTACTAAAAATACAAAAATTATCTGGGTGTGGTGGCGTGTGCCTATAGTCCCAGTTACTCAGGAGACTGAGGCAGGAGAATCACTTGAACCCGGGAGGCGGACATTGCAGTGAGCTGAGATTGTGCCACTGCACTCCAGCCTGGATGACAGAGAGAGACTCAGTCTCAAAAATAAATTAATTAATTAATTTAATTAAATAAAGAAATAAATAAACAACAGAATTTTATTTCTCACCATTCTAGAGTCTGGAAAGACCAAGATCAGGATGTCATCATGGTTGGATTCTGCTGAGGGCCCACCTCTGGATTCATAGAATGGCACCTTCTTGCTGTGTCCTCACATGGTCTAAGGGACTAAAAGCCCTCATGGCCTGACCACCTCCCAGTGGTCACACCTCCTAATACCATCACTTTGGGGGTTAGGATTTCAATATATGAATTCCGGGGAGACATAGACATTTAGACTATAGTACCTGCCTTTTCTATATGAACTTTACTCCTGGAAAACAAAACAGTAGATGAGAGAATGTGTGTTTTTATGAAAGTATTCCAACTCAAATAAAACAGAAATGATAGAATATCAGCAGTTGACAACTCTGCAGTGAATGATAGATACTGACACTTTGCAGCTATTAAGATCATTAAAAAATGACAACAGGACAATCTGTGCCTCCTACAGTCCTGCCATACAGTGTCCATAGTTTTGTCAAAGGGATCGAACCTGTATCTAATCCACCTCTGGATCACCTGTCTATTTACAGGAAATACAGAGGACAGAGAAACACATTGAACTGTACCAAGAGAATTCAAATAATGAAATCCAGACTGTGGGAGAGTACAGGTCACAAAGCTTGTATGCAAAATAAAGGGTGGAGGAGGAACCCACAGATTCAAAGATACTTAAAAAGATATATCTTCTAATGGGCAAGAGCAAACTACAGTGTCTATGGATGCACATTCCTGTCATAAAACTAAAGGAAAACTTCAAGGAAGCAATCACTATAAAAGTTAGGATGGCTGGGCACGGTGGCTCATACCTGCAGTCCCAGCACTTTAGGAGGCCAAAGCAGGAGGATCGCTTGAGGCCAGAAATATGAGACCAGCCTGGGCAACATAGCAATATCTCATCTCTAGAAAAAAATTAAAAATTAAAAATTAACCGAGGACCGGGCATGGTGGCTCATGCCTGTAATCCCAGCACTTTGGGAGGCTGAGGCGGATGGTTCATGTGAGATCAGAAGTTCGAGACCAGCCTGGCCAACATGGTGAAACCCCGTCTCTACTAAAAATACAAAAATTAGCCAGGCTTGGTGGCACATGCCTGTAATCCCAGCTACTTGAGAGGCTGAGGTAGGAGAATGCTTGAACCTGGGAGGCGGAGGTTGCAGTGAGCCAAGATCGTACCATTGCATTCCAGCCTGGGCAACAAGAGCGAAACTCCATCTCAAACAAACAAAAAAATTTAACTGAGAATGGTGGCATGGGCCTGTGGTCTTAGCTACTCAGGAGGCTGAGGCAGGAGGATCACTTTAGCCTAGGACGTGGAGGCTGCCGTGAGCCATGATCTTGCTATTGCGCTTCAGCCTGGGTGACAGAGAGAGACTCTGTGTCTAAAATAAATAAATAAATAAATAAATAAAACAAATCAGGATGTTATTTAGGGGAGGAGGAGAGATTGTGGTTGGGATGGGTTACACTGAAGGGGCTTTCAGAGTGGCTGGCAAAGTTCTATTTTTTAAAAAATCTGGGTGGTATTCACCTTAAAATAATTCATTAAACCAGGCATTTGATTTGTGTGATATTCTATTGTGATGTTTTATTTTATAATAAAAATTAAAATATTTATAATACAAATATCTTTAAAATATGTTTTATTAAAATGTTAAATCAAAATCAATTAAATCAAGTTCTCTGGAGGTGGGACCCAGGCATCAATATTCTTTAAAGCTCTCTGGTGATTCTAAAGTGCAGCCAAGTTTGAAAGCCAGCGTGTAAGAGAAATGGCACTTCACTGTGCTCCGTATCAGGGGATTGGGTTCTAGTCTTCACGTAGCCACCCATCCAGCTGTGTGACCAGGAACAGGGGGTTTAACCTCTCTGGCCCATAGTGGCCCATCTGTTACATGGTGAAAACAATTGATCTACCCAAAGTTGGGATTAGACAGGTTGACTTTTGAAGTCCCTGTGAGTTTCAGAACCTGGTAATCTAAGAAAAGGAAATAGAATTGTATTAGAATAATTCAATTGTATAAAACTTTTTAATAATTGTATGTATAATACGATCATGCGTATGCATCCACATGAAAAGTGTGTGTGTGTGTGTGTGTGTGTGTGTGTGTGTGTGTGTGTACGTCATTCAGGGTCCTGGCACCAAACAGAATTCACCATGTATGATCCAATTAAGAGATGTTATGAAGGAGCTGTGCACAGAGGTGTGGACAGGATTACTGTCAGAGCACACTGACTTGAAACAGTGAGAAACTGTTACCACCCCCTAAGCCTGAAAAGCAAGAGAAAGAAATGTGTTACTGAATCCCAGCAAGAGGTGAAGCTATGGAGGAGCCGCCCCACAGGCACTGTAGTTGCAGAGGAACACAGTCTCTTACACTGGATCCATTTATTTACGTGGCTGTGTAGATGAATACACCACAATACATTAGTCCATTCTACTGTTGAAGGACATTTGGGTTATTTTCAGATTTTTGTTCCAAAAAATATGTCACTAAGAATATTCTTATACATGCCTGTTGGTGTACATGTGGACACATTTCTGTTGGGTATGTACATACGAGTGGAATTTCTGAGTCATAGCATATATGAATCTTCATCATGTACTGCCAAACTGTTTTTCAAAGTATGTGTACCAATTTACATTCCACTAACAGTATATAAAAATTCCTTTTTCCCTTTAGTCTTATCAATACTTGCTGAAGAAAGAAAACAAGGTGGGATAACAGACATAATCAGATATCAATATTTATCATAAAACTATAGTAATTGAGGCAGGGTGGTCTGTGTGAAAAGATAGACAAATAAACCAATGGAGAAGAATAGAGAGTACAGAAACAGTCCCACACATAGGCAGATGCTCAATTAGTGACAAAGGTAGAATTTCAGAGCAGTAGAAAACAGGCATTCTCTTCATTAAATGGTATTGGATCAATGGAATATACACACCCAAAAATGAAATTTGACCCCACCTCACACCATACCTAAAAATCAATTCTAGGTGGATTGCAAATCTAAATGCAAAAGGTGAAACAACAGATTTAGAAGAAAACATGAGACTATCTTCATGACCTTGAGGTAGACAAAACTTTCTTAAATAGGACAAAAAAAAGCACTTATTTAAAAAGGAAAAGATTAATAAACTGGATTTCATTAAGATTAGGGACTACCGTTCACCAAAGGATACCACAAAGAGTGCAGTAGCATAAGTCACACACTGGCAAAGATATTTGCAACATATAACTGACAAAGGACTTACATCCAGACTGTACAAAGAACTGTTAGAATAAAAAAGACAGCAACCCAATGGAAAAATGATGAAGTCTTGAATGGGCACTTTACAAAAGAGATGTCCAAACATTCAATAACCATATTTAAAAGTGCTCAACCTCATGTAAAGTAAAACCATGAGATATAACCTCACATCCACCAGCACGGCTAAAACCAAAGTGACTGACACTATAGTATTGCAGAAAATATGGAACAATGTGAATTCTCACACATTGCTGGGGGGAGTTTAACTGATACTACTCCAGAAGTGAAAATAAATTGAAAGTTGAAAATATACTATGACTCAACAATCCTATCCTATACTCCAGAAATGTGTACATATGTGCACAAAAATAAATGTAGAAGAATGTTCACGAACAATATTTTTCTTAATAAATAAAAACTGGAAACAATCCAAATGTCCATTAACAATAAAAGTGGATGAATAAATTATGTTATACCTGTGCCATGAAATAATATACAGCAATGAAAATGAACAAACCAAAGCTACAATATCATGAATCAATCTCACACTTATAATGTTGAACAAAGGAAGCCAAGCACAAAATAATACATATCATAGAATTCCAAGTATATTAAGTACAAAACCAGGCAATAATAATCTATAGTGGTAGACAGAAATCAGAATAGTAGTTAAGACTAGGGAAGAGAAAAGGGGTAGTGATTGGGAGGGGCACAAAGGGAGCATCTGAGATGCTGGTATTGCTCTATCTCTTGAGTTGGGAGGTATTGCCTGGCTATATCTATTTTTCTATGACTTATCAAGCTATGTACTTATGATTTCTGTATTTTTGTATGTATATCTCAATTAAGGTTGTATTAATGAAAAATATGTACATACAGGAATGTTTATCATTGCATTGTACATAATGTCATTAGATTCATCAGTTACAGTATTAGTTAAATAAATTGGTTGTATCCATGAAATGAAATATTTTATCATATGAAATAAGGTCTATGGAAAACTTTCATAACATTTTGTTGAATGGAAACACCAGGTTACAAAATGGTATATTCGGTGCAAATTGATTTGTTTAAAAAGTGTATGGAGGCCGGATATGGTGACTCATGCCTGTAATCCCAGCACTTTGGGAGGCCAAGGTGGGCAGATCACCTGAGGTCAGGAGTTTGAAACCAGCCTGGCCAACATGGTGAAACCCCGTCTCTATTAAAAATACAAAAATTAGCCAGGCACGGTGGCGCTTACCTGTAATCCCAGCTACTCGGGAAGCTGAGGCAGGAGAATCGCTTGAACCCGGGAGGCAGAGGTTGCAGTGAGTGGAGATGGCGCCACTGCACTCCAGTCTGGATGACAGAGTGAGACTCTGTCTGAAAAAAAAAAAAAAAAAGTGTATGGGATATGTGTTTCTGGTGTGTGTGTGTGTGTGTGTGCATGCACGTGTGCATGAGCACACATTGAAATAAGTGTTAACTGAAAGGATTCACTACAAAATATTAATAATGGTTTTCTCTGAGTAGTGTGATTACAAGGTTGCTAAAGTTTTTGATGCTTTCTTCTTGTTCTTCTGAATTCTTCTATTTTTCTACAATAAACATGTTCTATTTATGTTTTTAAAAAGTTTAAAAAAAGAAAATCTATTCAGAGCTTTGTTAGCACTCCATTAAACACTCTTTTATGTATTCTCTGATTCTATCAAATTAATCTGTTATTCTCCCCATGGCATCTGAATCAGGCAGAATGGCAAAATCAATCCACTATGTAAAGCATTAAACTAAAACTCAAAAATGGCTTCAGTTCCCAGCTTTCCTGTTGTGTGATCTTGTTTCTCCCATCTGATCTCTCTGCACCTAATATTCTCTTCCCAGTGTCTTGCTGGAACTTGGATTTAAAATCATTCTGTTTCTCTGTATATTTTTTCCAGCATTTAGATTTCATTTTTCTGTCTACAAGAGACACAGCCACAAAATCTCCAGACATAAAGCAAGGTAGATACTTCTTTTTTTAAGTAATGATGATCAACTTGACCCCATGTATGAAGTACCTACTATTTGTCAGACATGATGCTAAATAACATTAGTTAATCCTCACAACCGCAAGAAGTAGGTGTTTTTATGTCCACTTTACAGATGAAGAAACTAAGGGACAGATTGGTTAAGCAACTTGGCCAAGGTCGCCGGGTTAGTAAGAGGCAAAGCAATATTTAACAGCAGGGAAGAGGCTGGGCGCGGTGGCTCTCGCCTGTAGTCCCAGGACTTTGGGAGGCCAAGGCAGGCAGATTACTTGAGGTCAGGAGTTCGAGACCAGCCTGGCCAACATGGAGAAATGCTCTCTACTAAAAATACAAAAATTAGCCAGGTGTGGTGGTGAGCACCTGTAATCTCAGCTACTTGGGAGGCTGAGGCAGGATAATTGCTTGAATCCGGGAGCCGGAGGTTGCAGTGAACCGAGATTGAGCCACTGCATTCCAGCCTGGGAGACAGAGTGAGACTCTGTCTCCTCTGAAAAGGGATTACCTGTAAAATTAACCAGGAGATAGATTCATGTAATAAGCACCTTGGCTGCACAAATTGTTGGCACCTCCCTTCTTAAGATAATCCAATATCGGGACAATGAAGATGAAAATGTCATGAATAAACCATCAAGAGAATCTGGCAATCTTCAGGAATCTCTGGTTGACTTTGACACTGGAGGATCCACTCCAAATCACCCCTTTTTCTCACTTCTTAGCTGGACAGAACAAGACCCCTGGAACTGTATCTTGAACTACCAGACACCGACTTCCCCAGATTTGTCCAGAGAAAGCACTTTAGCAGGCAGCAAGGATTGCGTGGAATACGTGACTACTGAGACATCAGTTTTGGTGAATGCATAAGGCTATCATCTGGATGAACTATGGACATTCAAAATGCTGACAATTAAGTGCCAAGAAAAATATCCAAAGCCCTACCTAAACTAAGTAGCATTGTGGCAAAGCCAAAATGGTCAAAGTCATCTAGCAGTTCATCTTTTAATCATTGCATTCCGAGATACTAGTTGGAAATACCCCAAGAAGTATCACCACATAAATAAAGACATTTTAATTGTGAGTTGAGAGCTAGAAGTCAAGAGACCTAAGGTAGTAGTTCTCAAACTTGAGCTTGCCTCAGAAGCACCTGGAGAGCTTATTAAAACACAGTTTGTTCAACCCTATCCCCAAAGTTTTTGATTCAGTAGTTCTGGGGTGGAGTCCAGTAATTTGCATTTTAACAAGTTCCCAGGTGATGCTGAGGTAGCTGGTCCAGGACCACAGTTTGAGAGTCATTGGCCTAAGAAATTGGTATAATTGGCCACAGCTTTATGGATTTTAAGATTGTAATGGGAGCCCTTTCCTTCATTGTCAGAGTGAGGAGGAAGGTTTTTACGGATGCTTAGTTGGTTCAAACAGGGGGAAGGAAAATCAGGACAGTGTGGTATGATAAAAACCAAAAAACCAGACCGGGCGCGGTGGCTCATGCCTGTAATCCCAGCATTTTGGGAGGCCGAGGCAGGCGGATCACGAGGTCAGGAGATCAAGACCATCCTGGCTAACACGGTGAAACCCAATCTCTACTAAAAATACAAAAAAATTAGCTGAGCGTGGTGGCACATGCTTGTAGTCCCAGCTACTCTGGAGGCTAAGGCAGGACAATGGCATGAACCTGGGCGGCAGAGCTTGCAGTGAGCCAAGATCGCCCCACTGTACTCCAGCCTGGGTGACAGAGCGAGACTCTGTCAAAAAAAAAAAAAAAAAAAGAGAGAATTTCAAGGAGGAATAAAGTAATAGAGAAGTCACATAAGAGAAGGAGAAGGAAAGATAATGGTCCATTGAATTTGGCATCCTGGAAGTAATGGATGATCTCAAGGAAGAGAGTTTCACCAGCATGGTGGGGACAGACACAGAGCTGCAGTGGTTTTTGAGTGAAGTAGTTCTTGCAGCTGACTCTTTCAAATAGCCTGGCTATTAAGTAATGGAGAGTTAGAGGATAGGAATGAGACAGGATTTGGCTTGAGCAAGTGCTGAAGGAAACGCAGCATGTATGAAAAGAGGCTGAAGATACAGAGGAGACAGGAGCTGTAGTGAGCAGATTCCTGAGAAGGTGAGAGGCATTCCAAGCCTAGATGGGAGAGAAATACCTTTCACTGAGGCAGGAGGAAAAGATAAGGGATGGGTCAAGAGGGAGGGTTTGGGGCCAGATGCAGTGGCTCACACCTGTAATCCAAGCACTTTAGGAGGCCAAGGCAGGAGGACTGCTTGAGGCCAGGAGTTTAAGACCAGCCTGAGCAATAGAGCAAGACCCTATCTCTACAAAAAAAAATATAAAAATTAGCCAGGCATGGTGGTACACGCCTATAGTCCCAGCTAGTCAGGAGGCTGAGGCAGGAGGATCACTTGAGCCTAGGAGGTTGAGGCTGCAGTGAGCCATGATTATGCCACTGCACTCTAGCCTGGGTGACAGAGTGAGATTCTGTCTCAAAAAGGAAGGAAGGAAGGAAGGAAGGAAGGAAGGAAGGAAGGAAGGAAGGAAGGAAGGAAGGGTGGGTTTAGTTTCTAGTTGGGAAAGTTCTTGCCTGATGGCCTCAATTTTCCCAGTGGAATAGGCAAGTCCTTACCCGAGAGGGAGTTAGTACGGGAGGGGATGTGAGAAAAAGGCAAAGAGGTTAGATGAACCACTGGAGAGATGGGTAACGGCATAATTTCTGACATACAGAAGGATTAATTAAGGAGCAGGTATGAGGGGCCAGGTGAAGCTGGAAACCATGATTGGAAATTACTCTTACATGAATATTTTCAGCAGCATTCGGCTGAGCAAGGGAATGCTTGAATCAACTGAGGCTTAAGGTTCTGGAGGCCAAGCACACTGGTGGGACAAGAGGCAAGAGGGTCTGGCGAAATGGAAAGGACAGAAGGGGGCATTCTGGGGGTCCAGATTCAATAGGAAAGAAATGACAGCATGAGGGTGTGGATTTCATTGGGAGAAAATGTAGTGGACAAGAGACGGAGGGTCCAATTGTGGCCAAAATGGGAATATAGTGGAGCTGCATCATTGGAGGGCCTGGATTCAAAATTTAGCCAGCACTTGGGGCATACATTTTAGGTGGTCAAATTTACCTTTGGAAATGCCTTAAATCACCCTTAATATATTATTTGCACTGACACCCAATATACTGTTTTCCAGTCAGAACTACATGGCCAGCATTAGCCCAGAACTCTGTCATTGGCTGAGCAGCCCATAAAGCAGTTGGCATGTGTTTAGAGGCCATATTGACAACAAGAGGAAGTGCTCTTTAAACACTGGAATCACAGTGAAGGCCGTGAGACAATCCCGCGATAAGAGGTACAAGGGAACTGAGGTCAACCTAGGAAACAGCAGACTCATGGCTCCCACCTCATCCTCACTCCCCAGCACACACTCTTGAAAGGAAAGTCAGTGAGGCAACTGTGCTATTTAAACTGTTCTGTCTTACCCGCTGTCATTTTTTCCCCAGACTGTAGAACCGAATTTAAATTAGTTAAAAACATGAATGATGTGATTCCACTATTTTAGGAATAAGAGAATGAGTGAGCTTAAATAGTTGGAGGCTGTGGTCTATATGAATCATGAGAGTTTAAGATTTCAAAGGTTCAGATGATCGATAAGGCCAAAGGACAAGTATCCAAATAGCTGTCATTATGGATCAATGTGCTGCCTCCAAATATCTCAATTTCAAGCATCTGTCTCTCTGACTGCCACCCATCCTTTTAGCTTCCTAATTCTAGTAGCCCCACTTCAGGCAATTTTTGACTGATTGAGACCTCCAATCCAGTGACTCTGGCCCTCTCCCACTCTCCCTCCCTCTTGTCTTACTCACAAACCTCTGTACCCACACTCCTCACTACACAGACTCATTTATAACCTTAATTCCTCAACCCTCTCTTCTTCCACTGCACTTCCTGGACAAGCTCGACTATCTGCATGTTTATGCACCTGAGGAATTGAAAATTATGGTTTAACCTGATTCTCCCCAATGTCTGCTGTCTTGCTGTTTGGGCTGGTTTCACTTTAAATTCATGAGTGCAAATCTAAAGTGGGATTGTAAATCCATACTGCCTGATAATCCTGTATCTCTCTACTGAGATGGGGGTACCTCTCCTAAAGAAGGCTACTTTAAAGCTTCTCCTATATCCTCAAAACTCCAACACCTTTTCCACCCCCTTTTCTCAGCTGATGACCTCAACTAATCATATATTACTAATCACTGTGACAGTCAAACAGGAATATTCTCCCCTTTCCACCACCAGATCTGCCGCCTCCTATCTATATCCATACACTGACTTCCTCCCTCTCACAGTGGGTGAATCCCTAAACCCATCTAAGTTCAACTCTTCCATTGAGCTCTCAATCCCAGCCCCTTTTGCCTTAAGAGCTTGCTCTTGAAACCATTCTCTTGTTCTCTTGCATTATTAATTTCTCCCTCTCTACTAAACTATTCTCATCAGCTTACAAGCATGTCTTATGATCTCCTATCTTTGAAAACCCTACCCTTGTTCCTATATCTTTCTCCAGCTATTGACCCAATGCTCTTTCTTCAGAATAAAACTTTTCAAACAAATTGCCTATATTCACCCTTAGCAGCCCCTCACCTCTTATTAACTCCTCATCCCTCTCACACCTGGTTCTTATTTCACTTCTCCATTCCACTGAAACTGATTTTTTTTTTTTTGGAGACGAAGTCTCGCTCTGTCACCCAGGCTGGAGTACAATGGCACAATCTCGGCTCACTGCAACCTCCGCCTCCTGGGTTCAAGCGATTCTTCTGCCTCAGCCTCCTGAGTAGCTGGGATTACAGGCTCCTGCCACTACGCAGAGCTAATTTTTTGTATTTTTAATAGAGATGGGGTTTCACCATGTTGGCCAGGTTGGTCTCGAACTTCTGACCTCAAGTGGTCCACCTGCCTTGGCCTCCCAAAATGCTGTGATTACAGGTGTGAGCCACCATGCCTGGCCTGAAACTGATTTTGTCAAGGTCACCAGTGACCTCCATGTGGCCACTTCTCTATCCTCATCTTACTGAACCCCGTATTAACATTCAATACAGATACGATTCCTTCCTTCTTGTCTATCGGGACACTACAGTTTCTCGGTTTCCCTTCAACCTCTCTGGTTAATCTTTCATCTCCTCTGATTGCTCCTCCTCCTCTGATCAACTGCTAAATGCTGGTGTACCCCAGTGTTCAATCTGGGCTCTCTTCCTTTTTGCCCTTCACTTTCTCTGTAGAGAGCTCATCTAGTTTCATGACTTTAAATGTCATCCTCTGATGACTCCCAAAATTATATTCTAGTTCTGTCTCTCCCTTAAGCTCCAGGGTTACATATCTAATTGCTTGCTTGACATCTCACTCAGATACCTCCTAGGAAGCTAAAATTTAACGTGGCTAAAACAGAACTTTTGATTCCGTACCACTTCTCCAACCAATTTCTCCCATGTTTCCAAAAATGCTCCCACCATCCAGGATGTATTAGTTATCTATTGCTACAGGACCAATTACCATAAACTTAGTGGCTTACAACAACACAAATTATTACCATACAGTTTCTGTAGCTCAGAAGCCTGGGCATGACTTAGCTGAGTTGCTCTGTCTCCAGGCCTCACCAGGCTACAATCCAGATGTCAGCTGAGGCTGCAGTCTCACTAGGAAAGGACCCACTGCCAAGCTCCCACAGGTTGTTGCAAGAACTCATTTCCTTGCAGCTGCAGGACTGAGGGTTTTGATTTCTTGCTGGGGGCTTCTCTCAGCTCCAAGAGGCTACCCAGAGTTTTTTGCCACATGTCAGCCTCCTTCTTCAGAACCAGTGACAGGGAGTCTGTCAGTGTGAGTTGGCTAGCAAGATGGAGTTTTACATAATATAATGTCACAAGTATGATATCCCATCATCTTTGCCATATTTTATTGGTTAGAAACAAGTCACAGGTCCCACCTACACTCAAGGGAGGTATTACAAAAAGTGTGGATACCTGAACAAGAAAATCATGGGAGTCTTAGAGTCTGTCCACCACATGGGGTGAGATGTAGCTATTCCTTTTTGTCTTCCGATGTCCGACAGGTAACTATTGATGAAACACACATACACACTCACATATATTTCCAAAGGGTAAGAACTAATTTCTTGGAGACAGCACAGTCCAAATTTATATTGCCAAAGAAAAGGTTGTCGTTAGTAGCACATAAATCTAATGACAGTCCCTAGTCACGGGAGAGAGAGCACCTGACACTATGCAGAACAGTGTGACTTCCTCCTGCTCACCTCACTCTCTCAATAGGTCTTCACTCCCTTCAAACCACTAGTGTTCTGGGCCCAAGATCAAGGCCCATTGTTAAACTATCTGGCTCTCAAGAACCACTGCTTAGCTACTCAAAGGACTGTCTTCACAGTTGCCCGTTCCCTTTACCCTCAGCCAAGTTCAATGATTAGCCAAGGCCTGCCCTCACTCCAATCTCTGACAGTGAAAGAGAGGATAAGAAAGGGTGTTTCCTCCTCCAATTACATAACCAATTCCCATGTGATTGACATTTTAATAATTTTGATTTCCTTTTCTAAATCTGTACTCTATTCTGTCATGAGAGTTTTGCTATTTCAATCCATCTTCAACTGGTTTTAGAAGTAGGTGAACCAAAGGAAATCAAGTAAAAATAAATAAACACGTAGACTCACAACTTCCCTGAGTCTTAGATGCTTTGGGTAAGAACTGAAGTGAAATCATGAAGCTGTTGTTCAATAATGAAAATCAATGAACTGAGATTTCAGGACAGTTAAAGAATTGCTGGGGCTGGGCGCAGTGACTCACCCCTGTAACCCTAGCACTTTGGGCAGCCGAGGCAGCAGGATCGTTTGAACCCGAGTTTGAGACTGCTGTGAGCTATGATCATGCCACTGCACTCTAGCCTGGGTGACAGTGAGGCCTTGTCTCTAAAAAAAAAAAAAAAAAAAAAAAAAAATTTAGGGCTGGGTGCGGTGGCTCACGCCTGTAATCCCAGCACTTTTGGAGGCCAAGGCAGGTGGATCACTTGAGGTCAGGAGTTCGAGACCAGCCTGGCCAATATGGTGAAACCCTGTCTCTACTAAAAATACAAAAATTAGCTGGGCATGGTGGCACGCCCCTGTAGTCCCAGCTGCTCAGGAGGCTGAGGCAGGAGAATCACTTGAACCTGGGAGGCGGAGGTTGCAGTGAGCCAAGATCACGCCACTGCACTCCAGCCTGGGTGACAGAGCAAGACTCCGTCTCAAAAAAAAAAAAAATTAACAATTAAAAATTTAAAAAAAAAAGGAATTGTTGGAATGGGTTACTAAAGCAAATGCACTGGAAGGATAGGAGGTGGTAATCAAAAAGAGGTATGCTTGAGGCCAGGCGTGGCGGCTCACACATGTAGTAATCCCAGCACTTGGGAAGCTGAAGTGGGCGGATCACTTGAAGTCAGGAGTTCCAGACCATCCTGGCCAACATGGTGAAACCCCGTCCTACTAAAAACATACAAAAATTAGCCGGGTGTTGGTGACGCATGCCTGTAATCCCAGCTACATGGGAGGCTGAGGCAGAAGAATCGCTTGAACCTGGGAGGTGGAGGTTGCAGTGAGCCGAGATCGTACCACTGCACTCCAGCCTGGGTGACAGAGTGAGACTCTGTCTCAAAAATAAAAACAAAAATAAAAAATAAAAAGAGATATGCTTGAAATCAAGATATTGGAGGTATGCAGAAATCAATGGTGACAGATGTTTAGACACTTGTCCTTTCACCTGTCATTGGCTACTAGCTCTTATTATTTTTGAAGCAAAGGAAATTTCTCAAAGCCTGCTCAGTTCCCTTTTGGTTTTACTGATTATCTTCATCTTGTTCCAGATACTCTGGTTACCAAGGCAAACTCTCTCTGGGATGGGTGGTTCAAAGAAATGGGTCTTTTCTTTGGGGAAAGGTTTATGGGGATTCTGTGGGTCTTCCCAGCTAACCTTTGTGAGAGGGAGGAATGTGGATGCAAGCCTTACGGTCAGGCAGTTGCTTTTCTCCTATCGCACCATGTGACTTCCTACTTCCCACACATCAGCCCTGTAGTGTGCTGGCACTGAAAATGTTCAGAACCATTATCATGGTTGTATAGGCACCTCTCATTGGGTCCTTAGGACAATTCAGGAAAAAGTGCCTGGAGGAAAATTAGAGCTCTAATTATGGCTTGGCCTGCTGAGATAATGTTTGCAGGCATACTTTTTTCCATGAATAAATCAGAGGCACACCACGGAAAGCAGATATTTCTGTTCTTGCCTCTTTGAAAGTAGCTTTTCTGTCAGTAAATTATCTGTCCCAACAGATCCTCTTTGAGTTCAGTAAAACTGTATCATGAGGAGTTGAGTTTTTTTTTAAATTTGAAAATTACTCAGCTTAGGTTAGGAGAACATAAAAATGAAGTTATGTTACTAATTGTAACCATGCTAATGAAATTTGCATTGCTTCAGCAAGCATGGGCACAGCAGACACAGCCACTGGAAACACAAAGTTTTTCTCCCCAAAATCGGCTCTACCTTCCACTGAACAGCCACTCCCCTTCCTTTAAGTTGTGAGACCTCTACACTCTGGATTCACTTGCCCCATTACTTCTTTGAAAACGATGACTTATTTTTATAAAAATTAATTCATGTTCCTTATTTTAAAATGTAAGTGATATATAAAAACAACAAATCACCTCAAATTGCATACATTTGGTGGACATTATTCTAGATACATTTCTCTGCATATGTGCAATTTTTAAATAACAGTTTTACTGAGATATAACTCACAGCCCATACAATTCACTCTTTCAAAGTGTACAACTCAGTCATTTTCAGTGTTTTCACAGAACTATGCAATCTTCACTATCGTCTAGTTTAGAGTGTTTTCATCACCCCAAAAAGAAACCCCACACCCATTAGCAGTCATTCTCCATTCTCCCCCGTCTGCAGGCCCTTGTAACCACAATCTACTGTCTCTATGGATTTGCCTATTCTAGTCATTTCATATAAATGGAATCATCCAATATGTGATCTTTCGTGACTGACTTCTTTCACATAGCATAATGTTTTCAAGATTCACCCATGTTATATCATGTATCAATACTTAATTCCTTTGTATTGCCAAGCAATATTCCAATGTATGGATATTCCACATTTTGCTTAGTTGATGAACATTTGGGCTGTTTCCACTTTTTAGTTATCATGAATAGAGCTGCTGTGAATATTCATGTACTTGTTTTTGTGTGGACATACGTTTTCATTTTTCTTGAGTAGATATCCACAATTGCCATTGGTGGGTCCTATGGAATTCTATGTTTAACTTTTTATTTAATTGTGGTAAAACATACATAACATAAAATTAGCCACTCTAACAAATTTTAAGTGTACAGTTCAGTGGCATCAAGTACATTCACACTGTCGTGGAAACATCACCAGCATCCATCTCCAGAACTTTTTTCTACTTGCAAAACTGAAACTCTCTACTCATTAAACGGTAACTTCCTGTTTTATCTGCCCCACCAACCCCTGGCAACGACCATTCTACTTTCTGTCTCTGTTAATTTAACTATGTTTAACTTTTTAAGATACTTCCAAACTGTCCCCCAAAGTGGCTGCATCATTTTGCAATCCCACCAGCAATGTATGAGGGTTTTACTTTTTCCACATCTTCATCAATGCTTTTCATTGTCTGTCTTTTTAATTTTAGCTCTCCTAGTGGGTGTGAAGTGGTGTCTAATTGTGGCTTTCATTTGCATTTCTCTGGTGGCTAATGATATTGAGCATATTTTTTTAAGATAGGGTCTCACTATGTTGTCCAGGCTGATCTCAAACTCCTGGCTCAAACAATCCTCCCACCATGGCCCTCCACAGTGTTGGGATTACAAGTGTGAGCCACAGTGTCCAGCTGATATTGAGCATCTTTGTATGTGTTTATTGGCCATTTGTACATCTTCTTTAGTGAAATGTCCACTCAAATCCTTTATTTAAATACAAGTAAATTGGGTTATTTGTATTTTCATTATTAAGTTGTAACCGTTATTTATATATTCTAAGTACAATTCTCTTCTCAGATATATGATTTGCAAATTTTTTTTTCCATTCTGTGGGTTGTCTTTTTACTTTCTTGATGGTGTCCTTTGAAGCACACAAGTTTTTAACTTTTGTGAAGTTCAATTTGTCTGCTTTTCTTTGGTTGGTTGTAGTTTTGGTGTCACATCTAATAAACCATTTCCTTAAAAGAGATTATATATTATGACCAAGAAGGATTTGTCCCAGGAAAACAAGGTTGGCTTAACATCCAAAAATCAACATTATACAGTATATCATGAGAATAAAGGGCAAAACCCCATGATCATCTCAATAGATGCAGAAAAACCATTTGATAAAATCCAATGTAATTTCATGATAGAAACACTCAACAAACTATGAATAGAAGGAAACTTATTTAACCTCATAAAGGATATCTATGAAAAATCCATGGATAATGGTGAAAGACTGGATGCTTTCCCCCTAAGATTTGGAACAAGACAAGGATGTCCACTCTTACCACTTATCTTCAACATTGTACTGGAGGTTCTGTCAGGTAATTAGGTAATTACAAACAGTAGTTAGGTACACAATGAAATAAGAGGCATCCAAATTGGACAGGAACAAGTAAGGTTATCTATTCACACATGACATAATTTTGTATACAGAAAATACTAGGTAATCCACTAAAAAAAAAATCACTAAAACTAATAAGTTCAGCAAAGTTGCAGAATACAACATGAATACATACAAATCAATTGCATTTCTGTACATTTGCAATGAATAATAAAAAAGAATTTAAGAAAACAATTTCATTTACAATAACTTCAAAAAGGGTAAGATCCTTAGGAATAGATTTAACAAAAGAAGTACAAACTTATATCCTGAAAACTACAAAACATTGTTTAAAGAAATTGAAGAAGATCTAAATAAATAGAAAGACATCCACGTTCATGGATGGGAAGACTTAATATGATTAAGATGGGAATATTCCCCAAATTTATCTATCTATTCGATGAAATCCCTATCAAAATCTCAGCTGGCTTCCTTATAGGAATTGACAAACTTACTAAAATTTATATGGAAATTTAATGTAGCTCTTACATTTAGGTCTATGATCCATTTCAAGTTGATTTTTGTATATATTGTGAGGTAGGGGTCCAACATCATTCTTTGCATGTGGACATACAGTTTTCCCAGCACCATTTTTTGGAAAGACCATTCTTTCTCCCATTGAATTATCTTGGTAGCCTTGTTGAAAGCAACTGGCCATAAATATGTAAGATTTCATTTCCAGACTCTCAATTCAATTCCACTAATCTATAAATGTTAATTGGCTAATTCCTTTTTTTTTTTTCAGACAGAGTCTTGCTCTGTTGCCCAGGCTGGAGGGCAATCATGCTCACTGCAACCTCAAACACCAGGGCTCAAGCAATCCTTCCTGCCTCAGCCTTCCAAGTAGCTGGGACTACAAGTGTGTGCCACCAGGCCTGGCTAATTTTTAAAAATTCTTTTAGAGGCTATGTCTTGCTATGTTGCCCAGGCTCATCTCAAATTCCTGGCCTTAAGTATTCCTCCTGCTATGATCCCAGCACAAATTGGCTAATATTTAATGTAATTTTTTTTCAAGTTTTTTTTTGTTTTTGTTTTTGTTTTTTTCAGACAAGGTCTCACTTTGTCACCCAGGCTGGAGTGCAGTGATGCAATCACGGCTCACTGCAGCCTTGACTTCCTGGGATCAAGTGATCCTCCCACCTCAGCCCCCTGGAGTAGCTGGGGTCCTCTTGCCTCAACACCCCGGAGTAGCTGGGACTACAGGTATGCACCACCATGCCCAGCTAATTTTTGTATTTTTTGTAGAGACAGGGTTTTGCTACATTGCCTAGGCTGGTCTAGATCTCCTGAGCTCCAGTGATCCACCAGAGTGCTGGGATTACAGGTGTGAGTCACTGTACCAGGCCCAATGTAATTATTGATATGGTTTGATTTAGCTTATTATTTTATTATTTGTTCTATGTTGTTCCTTCTGATTTTTGTTCCTCTGTTTCCCTTTAACTGTCTTTCACCTTCATTCCTGAAGAATATTTTTGCTGAATATAAAATTCTGGGTTGCCAAGCATGGTGGTTCATGCCTGTAATCCAGCATTTTAGGAAGCCAAGGCAAGAGGATCACTTGAGGCCAGAAGTTTAAGACCAGCCTGGTCAACATAGCAAGACCTTGTCTCTACAAAAAATGAAAATAAAAATTAGCTGGGCATGGTGGCATGTGGCTATAGTCCCAGCTATTCGGGAGGCTGGGGCTAGAGGACTGCTTGAGCCAAGGAGGTCAAGGCTGCAATGAGCTATGATCATGCCACTGCATTCCAGCCTGGGCAACAGAGTAAGAAACCCTGTATAAAAACAAACAAACAAACAAACAAAACAAACAAACAAACAAAAATTGGGTTGATGATTCCATTATGTTCACGCCTCCATAATTTCTAGTGAAAAACCTGTAAACATTCAAATCATTGTTCCTCTGTGGGTAAAGTGTTGTTTTTCTGGTTGGTTTCAAATATTTTCTTTAGTTTTTGGTTTTGAGTACTTTTATTATGAAGTTTCTAAGTGTGGTTTTCTCTAAGTTTATCTTGTCTAGGGTTTGCTAGGCTTCTTGAATTTGTAAATTTGTGTCTTTCATCAAACTTGGGACATTTTTGGCCATTATTTCTTCAAATAGCTTTACTGCAACAATCTCTTTTTCTTCTCCTTTTGGAACTCCAACTACACATATATCTTTTTATATTTTTTCACAGATCCCCAAGGCTCTGTTTATTTTTTTAATCTAGTTTTGATTGGTTCTTATTAGATAATTCTATTAATCTATCTTCAATTTCACTTATTCTTTCCTCTGTCTTGTCTATCCTACTATTGAGCCCATCCAGTGGTTTTATTGTTTGTTTCAGAGATTGTATTTTTCAGCTCTGAAATTTTTATTTGATTCTTTTTATAGTTTCTATTTCTTTGCTAACAATACCTCTCTTTTCATTCAAGTTTGTTTTTCCTTGCCTCATGGAGCATAGTTATAAAAGCTGTTTTAAAATTTCTATCTGATAATTCCACCATCTAGGTTATCTTCAGGTTGGCATTTGTTGATTACGTTTTCCCTAGATAATTATTCACATCTCCTAGTTTTTCTTTATGTTTAGTAATTTTGTATTGTATCTTGAAAATTGTGAATTTTGTATTGGATAGACTGGATCACGTCATCATTCTCTGGAGGATGTTTATGTTTTTGTTTTAGCAGGCAATCAACATTATTAAGCTCAGAATGTAATTTCTACCTTGCCTTCTGTGGTAGTTCAGTTTAGTTCTCTAAGGCTTTGTTATGCTGCTTCATGTCTATCTTGTTCATTTACACTTACAGGTTATTCTGAAAGTTGTGCAGGTGGTTCAAATCCTGCTTCAGTCCTCTAAGCCTTTGTCACCTTTGTTTGCATGTATCCTGCACATGTCCTCTTCAGCAGTTAGACACTCTAATATTTAATCATTTAGTTCAAATATTTGTATTTGTCCAAGCATCCATAGCTCAGGGCTTATGCTGAGACTGGTATGGGCTCATATGCCAAATTAGTGGATCCCCTTCTATGGTTCTCTCCTCTATCCCCTACTCTTAGGCCTGCAGGAGCTCATTTTCCTGGTTTACTTAGCCATAAACAATAGGTTTCTGTTTGAACTTTAGCCACAGATGTCTTTGCACTGCTCTACAACCACAGCTCAGCCTTGAGGCAAGGCCACAAGAGAAGAGGAGAAACAAAAGGAAGTTCACCTCCACATTGGTTGTTTGTTCAATTTTTGACTCCCCTCCATGATCTACCTGCCCCCCTGCCAACTTTTCAGAGTCCTTTGGTAGTGTTGTTTTTTTTTTTTATTTGTCTTGCAATTTTAGTTTTAATTGGCAAGAGAGATGGCCTGTAGAGGCTTACACCACCACGCTGGAACTCAAGTTCTGTTATAATGTTTTAAACATTGAATACTGATCTAAAACTCATGTTTATTCAGTTTGTATTCTAACATCACCACTTACTGGATATGAGCCCGTGGGCAGATTATTTGATTTATCTGAATCTCAGTTTCTCCATCTGTTAAGTGGGATTATACTGCCTGCTCTAGAAACTGTTTTGAAAATTAATTGGAATAACACATGTATAGCACCTGGCTTGTGGTATTTGCTCTATACATGTGAGATATCTTTCCCTATCCTAGGATAGCAAATAGATTTCAATACTCAAGCCAAATCTGTTTTTAAAAGAATCCTCAGGAAAATTTTATTTGCTATTGATGAACAATTTCAAGGTCTTTAATAGGGGCTTATTTTAGTCATTGGGTACAACAAAAGTAAATAAGTATAATAAATAAACGTACAGTTTAAGATTGGTGTTAAGCCTTTATGAAATTTTAAAATCTGAACATTTTTGTTTCTTATTGTTCACAGGGCTATGCATATTTGGGCAATATTTCCTTGACTGCAATGTAATAGGAGGAGCCAAATCAATTACATCAATTGATTATGTAGTTAAAATGAGATACAAATCATAGACAACAAATGCTTTTGCAAAAATAGCTATACCAAAAAAATTACCAAAAGATGAAATACAACATTATAATAATGTTTAAACTGTAATTATCAGACTATAACTGCTAAATGGGCAGCCAATTAAACATCAGTGCACTCAGAGACAAATGAGTACAAGTAGTTGAAAACACAGTACAGCTGGTCTGTAACATTCTGGACCTCAAATGTAGAGTTAATCATTCCCATCGGTTCCTGGCCATTATCATACTTGTTCTGGGCAAGGCATTTCTTGAGTTTGTTATTTTTTTTAGCCCTATTCCCCAAAGCCTGTTTTCCCACCCACACCACCACCCTGCCTGTGTAGACACAGGCAATAATTCTAATGAGTTTTAAGTGTATCCTTTAATTTATATATATCTCACAAAACACAGCCACACATATTCACTTATGTATTGTCTACAACTGATTTTGTGCTACAACTGCACAGTTCAGTAATTAAGGTAGACACTCACAAAACCAAAAATATTTACTATCTGGTCCTTTACAAAAAAACAAAAAAAATCCTGTATAATATTGATTCTGTAGAATTAATTGAGGTTTCCTTTGTTATTTAGTATATGGTAAATGTTTGTAAATATTACATGTGAACTAAAAAAAGAATGTATTCTCTGTTTAGTGTAGAATTCAATATATATTTAGCAGCTAGGTATTTTTTATTTTCTTGAGACATGGTCTTGCTCTGTCACCCATGCTGGAGTGCAGTGGCTCACTGCAGCCTCAACCTCCCACCTTGGCCTTCTAAAATGCTGGATTACAGGTGTGAGCCACTGTACCCAGCCTGGATATTATTAATAATATTATTCAGATTTTATATTTCTCTGCTTAGTTTTTATTTGCTGATATATCAGCTTGTAGTTAAAATCTCTATTATTGATAATTGATTCCCCTCTGAGTGCAGTCAGTTGTGATT
Source organism: Homo sapiens (assembly GCF_000001405.40). NCBI lineage: Eukaryota > Metazoa > Chordata > Mammalia > Primates > Hominidae > Homo > Homo sapiens. The sequence goes on along the minus strand of NW_025791766.1, from coordinate 1,454 downwards.
TAATATATCTTGAGGCTATGTTTTTACTGTATATATATTCTTAATGACTATATGTTCTTGTTCTGTGGTTCCTTTTCTTAGCATATAACAATGCTTTTGTCTCTTGTTATGATTTTTGTCAAGGATCTGTTTCATCAGATAGAAAGACTGGTACCCAACTTTCTTTTTTTCTTTTTGTCCATATCTTTTTCTTTTTTTTTTTTAGACGGAGTTTTGCTCTTGTTGTCCAAGCTGGAGTGCAATGGCATGATCTTGGCTCACCACAACCTCTGCCTCCCGGGTTCAAGCGATTCTCCTGCCTCAGCCTCCCAAGTAGCTGGGATTACAGGCATGCACCACCACATCTGGCTAATTTTGTATTTTTAGCAGAGACGGGGTTTCTCCATGTTGGTCAGGCTGGTCTCGGACTCCTACCTCAGGTGATCCACCCACCTTGGCCTCCCAAAGTGCTGGGATTACAGGCTTGAGCCACCGCGACCGGCCTCTTTTTCTATTCTTTACTTTTCTTTTTTTAGAGAAAGAGTCTCACTCTGTCACCCAGGCTGGAGTGCGGTGGCTCACTGCAGCCTCAACTCCCACCTTAGCCTCCCAAAATGCTGAGATTACAGGCATGAGCCACTGCACCTGGCCTAATTTTCAACTTGTCATTTTACTTTGCTTTCAGTACATTTCATGTAGATGGCACATTGTTGGATCTTGTGTTTGGGTTTTTTTCCATTTTATTCAAGGGTGTCTAGAATTCATTGATCAATTTTACTCATTTAAAGTTATTAACATTTCTGGGACTTATTTTATATTATCTATGTATTGTACTTTATCTTTTTTCCTTTTCTGTTTTCACTGGATAGACAAAATTGAATGCTTTTGCTTTTCGTTATATAATTGCCCTTAAGTCCTATATTTATGTTCATTTACTACTATGAATTTATTTATCAACATATTACTCTTCAAGCAAAACAATAATTTTAACATATTTTTATGTCTATCATGACCATGAGCATTTTGATATTGTGCAGAAAATCAATTCCAGATTGTTATAGGTATACTTTCTCTCTTTTTTATTTTTGGTTATTAAGTTTTTAAACAATAATATTTGCTAAGTTACATAAATGCCCTCACATTTCCTAATACCTTGCAGCATCCTCTTGGTTTCCCTTCCTATTTGAATACTTCCCCTAGAGCATTTCCAAAGTGTTTTTTTATGTGGTAATTTTCCAAGGCCTTTGTGCCTGAGAACATCTTTATTAAGGTCTTACATTTAGGCTATACCTTTTGCATAAAAAATTTCTGGACTTGAAATTATTTTCTTTTCATGTTCTAAAATTATCACTCAACTGGCTTCTTGGATCCACTTTTTCTGTGGGAAAAGCAATGTCAGTATGGTTCTTGTGCCTTTTGCAGGTAATCTGCTCTGGAAGCTCCTTGTCTTTGATGTTTTCTGGATTTTAGAATTC